>NC_000006.12:18241818-18393333 GCF_000001405.40 Homo sapiens | reverse complement strand
CTACTCTCCGCTTGCATCTCCAACCAGCTCTCTGGTCATTCAAGGACAAGATGAACCAGCGTACATTCTTTCAATCAGAAAAACAGTTCTAATGCATGCCCTAACCTAAGAGGACATGAACAAATGGAAACATAGGCTGCCCCTCTCGTAGTCAGGGAACTGCAATTACTTAAATAAACTGTATATCTATTAATTACTTTTTTTTTTTTTTTTTGAGATGGAGTCTCACTCTGTCTCCAGGCTGGAGTGCAGTGGCGCGATCTCGGCTCGCTGCAAGCTCTGCCTCCTGGGTTCACACCATTCTCCTGCCTCAGGCTCCCTAGTAGCTGGGACTACAGGTGCCCGCCATCACGCCCAGCTAATTTTTTGTATTTTTTAGTAGAGACGGGGTTTCACCATGTTAGCCAGGATGGTCTTGATCTCCTGACCTCATGATCTGCCCTTTTTAAAAGAATAATGCTCAAACTCAATGAGTACATACATGATATTACACATAAGTTGTCATTATTTGAAAAAATGAAATAGATTAGAAAATATCCTCTAGCATAAACAAACCCAGGAAATATTTAGGTCTTAGATGTAAGAAAGTAAATATTCACCTATTCAGGCTCTGTGAGGTGGCAGTATTGTATCACTGTGCCTCCTGTGGTAGAGAAGAGGACTTCTGTTTTCTCGCCACTGTTTCATGGCTTAAAGTGCTCAAAAAGCACTTTATTTAGTCTATAATTTCTTAGTTTTAACATCGTCATTTCAACAGTTTCTAGGATGGCAATGAGATCACAACTTTGTAACTTGGAGACTATTAACCTTCTAAAAATGGAACTGATATGCAAATATAGCCCTATTAACCTTTTTGTGGGTTAAAAAAAAAAAGTAGGCACTTCATCAGGAAGGAGAAGCATCTTAAAGTATTAGCAAGAACTGTTTTCCAAACAATCTCTTTGCTGCTTGAAATTAGGTTATGAATAAAGTCTGTTACAACTAATTTAGTGAGATCTAATATTTTTTCTTACAAAATATATATTGGTGCTGATGTCCAAGCATGGCCAACAATGTACATGACGTTGTGATAAGCTAACTCCAAATCCTACAGAGGACAGAACATCTGGCACATCGTTTTTTTTTTGAGACGGAGTCTCGCTCTGTCGCCCAGGCTGCAGTGCAGTGGTGCTATCTCAGCTTGCTGCAAGCTCTGCCTCCTGGGTTCACGCCATTCTCCTGCCTCAGCCTCCCAAGTAGCTGGGACTACAGGCACCTGCCACCACACCTAATTTTTTTTTTTTTTTTTTTTTTTTTTTAGTAGAGATGGGGTTTCACCATGTTAGCCAGGATGGTCTCGATCTCCTGACCTCCGTGATCCTCCCGCGTCGGCCTCCCAAAGTGCTGGGATTACAGGCGTAAGTCACCGCGCCTGGCCCTTGGCACATCTAGTTTTAACATTTGCAAACTGCTGCTCCTTTTTTTTTGAGATGGAGTCTGGCTCTGTCCCCCAGGCTGGAGTGCAGTGGCCCGATCTCGGCTCACTGCAAGCTCCGCCTCCTGGGTTCACGCCATCCTCCTGCCTCAGCCTCCCGAGTAGCTGGGACTACAGGCGCCCACCACCACGCTTGGCTAATTTTTTTGTATTTTTAGTAGAGATGTGGTTTCACCGTGTTTGCCAGGATGGTCTCGATCTCCTGACCTCGTGATCAGCCCACCTCAGCCTCCCAAAGTGCTGGGATTACAGGCATGAGCCACCGCAACTGGCTTTTTCTTAAAAGCACATTTCTTCTTGCCTTCTTTCCATGTTCTCATTACCCTACAGGGTAAGGCCCAAGAGGTAGAAATCCATTCCCAGTTTTCCAAACAATATAAACTTATCAAAGAAGGTGGGAGTGAATATGAGAATAACAGCTCAATGATATTTTTGGCATGGCAATTTTGCATTCATCATGGTAGCTACCTCTTCAATATCACCACTGTGCCTTGCCCACTCCTGTTTTAATCAGTGGTTCCCTGCCTCCCACAATTATTCACACAGCCCTGCTAAATAATTTTCTTCCCTATGCCTGGCATAACAACAAAGCTCAGAAGCAGGAAGGAACGCCACTTAAAGGCAGGTCAGACAATGATGTAATTGACCAATCAAGGAGAAGTGGTATTTCAAAGAGCCTTATAGAGCAAGAGCCAGGCTGATTTCTTGGGTCAGGACATTACCAGAAAACCAGAGCCGCTAAAGCACGAATATCTAAATCAAAAATTTTTTTTCAAATGAATAAAAGCATGTGCCAATATTACCCCCTCCTGTTAAAGTTAAAAGTTTCATATAGAAATTTTAATTAGAAACAAATTGGAAACCAGTTTGGAAGAGGAATCTTCACCCCACCTGAGCAAAGTGCAGGTGTAGATTTTTGTATGTCTTTGCCAATTAATTTCCTATAACAGGAATTTATCATGAAGGAAACAAAGTCAACACACAAAGAACAAATTCTACACATTAGGTGCTAGGGATGTAAAGGTGATTAAACCCAGCTCCTACTTATTAAGAGTCAACTAGTTGAGGAGGTTTTCAACAGAGGATTTCATATAATCATATGCAGGAGAATGTGTGGGTTTATGGTTTCAGCCACAAGTTCAACAGACAGAAACGAGTTGTCTTGTTTTATCTTCCCAAGAAAAACAAAGAACAAGTTGATGAAGGGCTGGGACTCAAACTCGTGACTTCAAAAGATTTAGAAAACAATGGGACATGGCTTTCAAAGTATGCTCTTAATAAATACTCCAAGCCATGTGATCAGAAGTATCTCCAGCTATGAATAAGAAAAGTCTATTTCACTTAGATTGCTGTGTTTTGAATTCAAGAAAGAGATCTGCTCATAGATGAGAAGATCCTCATTCCACGTTGCAGAAGCATTGGTCATTTTTACTCATTTAATATATAGTTATCCATTTTTTAATAACAACTATGGTATGATGCATTAGGTTCCAAAGTACTCACCGACTGGGTAAATAGCAAATGCCAAAGTTAATAAAACTAAAACTTTAGTCCAAGACCTCCCACATACACCTAAAGGTAAAAATTATGAATTAAAATATTTACATAAATTAACTTAGGTGTCATATACCTCTTAATGGTCAAATGGTCAAGGTAACACTACCAAGAAAATTAAGATGATCGAGGTGACAAACATCGAAGTACTTTTTATAATCTGGCAAAGCAATGTGAATTCAGAACTACCACTCTAGACCCAAGTCACTTCTGACCTTATGAGAATTTCTTCCGGACAGAGACCACATCTTAGCCATCTTTATATCCCAGCATCTAACCTAGCACCTAGCAAATCAGTCACTCAGTAGTAGAGTGGATAACTTTTCTGATTGTACTTGGAGGAGAGAAAATATTAAAGGCCTGGTTCTCATCTGTATTCACTTCCAGAAATTCACAAGCTGAAAATATTGACCATTTGTTTCAGGTAAGGAGCTTCTATAAATTAAGGTAGGCACCCCTGAAAGAAATGTTTCAGTACTTAGGAGCAATGGCTACAGATACCTATTCCCCAAAGTCCAAGTGAAAAGCATGACTTGTCTGGCAGCTTGGCCCTTTTCCCACATCCAAAATAATCAGTTGTACAAAGTAGGCTTAGTCCCAAAACTGCTCAGACTTTGTTCCTTCAGTAACATCTGGGTTCAGCATGATTCCTGACCTCTATCTCAAACTGGAGATTTCAAACACTAAAAACTTCACTCTCCAAGAAAGTAATGTCATAAAGTCAAGGCCAGGGGAAACAAAGAAGCCAGGATTAGCAGAAACACTTCGGAGAAAGGATTCTGACATACATATAAATGTTTCTAAACGTCTAAAATATTGAAATGACTTTTCAAGAAGGAAATTTTAAGTGCACCTCCTCAGATGAAAAATATTCATACTACTGAGGAGAAAGACGTTTTTCAGGAAGTTAAATGGTCATACCAGGTAGATAAAATAAGCTTTTTCTTTCCAGAGAGAGCATACTCTTCTCTCTGCTGTAGAGTTTGGCTCCAAAAACCTGGTTCATAATCTGAGACCCAAAAACTGATTATTTTAAAAAGACATGTCTTAAGCTGACCTAGTTTGGAAGCCTGAATGCCTTTAAATTGCCAATGAACTGAAACCATTCATGAGAATGGGCCTTTTGAATGCTGAGAATGTTCTTTGGGACTCAGCACAAAGATATTTGGCATAGATGACTGTAAATATTTGTAAAACTCTGGGTAAATGGGCAGGATTTGACCACACTCAAGCCCGACTTCCAGCACAGTAGTGTAGGAGAAAGTTATCTAGGGTGATTGTTTGGGGTTTTGGGGGGTTTTTTTGGTTGAGTTTTGTTTGTTTTAAATAAAAAGCCAAGCAACCCAATTCTACTACTCAACATCTTTTTCACGTTCACTATATATGTTTACCTTTTTTTAATCAAGATAATTAATTAGTCAGAGACTACTTTTGAAACTGAGGTTTTTCCCTTTCCCACTTTTCTAAGTTTATGCCCACGACAAAAATAAAAAAAAAAATGCCAGTCAAAGGTGTGCAAGGGCAGAGCAGGAGTTGTGTGAAACCATGACCTTGGATTTCATAATACAATTATCTACAAGTGGCTTTGTGGATCTGCTATAGGTTTTTCTCCCCCTCAGGATAGTTTTAGAAGTATTTAAGGCACTGCTGTCCATGAAAAGGACCCAGGTTGTGAAGGAAAGATAAACTAAGGAGAAGGAGGGACTCACAGAGGGATTTGATGTGAAAGGGACCAAGAGGCTCATTTCAGTGAAAGCTGCGGCAGACAGATACTCTAATTAGCCAGCAACTCAGTTAGGACTGGCTAGGTTCCTTTTGCCTCTTACCCACACCCTAAAAACTGAGTCATCCCAAAGTTCATTTATTTTGCTTCTGGGCACAGACACCCCCTAATCTGCTTCCTCAGAAATGTTAGATACATTGCCATTTAATTTATACCTCTCAATGTTCAAATAAACGTCCAGAAATGCCAAATCGGAAGAGCAGAGATAGTCCTGTTAAGAACCTCAGAGCTAATGTTTTGATAAGATACATGTGGCAGAAAGCAATATGAAACTGACAGTCTGTTATGAGAACATGAAAAAAGAACATTTCCCAGAGAAGGGAATTAATTTCTGGGAAATCTTTATGTGAATAGTGTATATGCATGAGGAGTAGACTTACAGCAGGATCCTTGAAACTCATGAGAAAAACAAAAGGTGTTTTAGAAAGAATAAGCAAAAGATACCTACCTTTTCCCTGCACAAACGACAATCAGTTCGATTTTAACTTAAATTTGAGAATGGCTCTCGTAGTATCAGAGTTTCACTGTTTCATTAGCAATTACCTGATAAAATAAGCACTATAATGCATAATCCGAGATTATGCCAACTTTTGGTCTCCCCTTAAGACCTAGGGAGAGGTCTGGTCTAATCTCGGATTCTACAATACATTCTATTATAGAAACTGTTTTATTAGAAATGAAACTACTTTCCTTTAACAAAGGCATTTTTCTTCTAAGTTAACAGGTGTTTAAGGCATTCAGAATGAATTCAGTTCTGTATGGTTTGAGCACTAGAGACAGAAAATCGAAAAATTGTGGTGTCACAGTGAGTTTCCTGTCCTTTTTCCTTAGTCCAGCAACACCATTCCGGTCTTGCAACGCCTGTAGCCTTTAAAAAGCTCGCTAAACCTACCTGGCAGCAGACCTGCGTTCCTCCGTCGCCGGGCTTCTCAGTAGCCTCCCTCGCGCTCACCGCCAGTCCGGGCTGCTGGCACACCGGACAGGAGCTCTTCCATTCTCTCCGTCTTTCCTCCGTGCTCTGCGGCTGACAGCTTTACACTTTGCAAGACTGCAACAGGACTTGCGCTCCCAGACCTACGGGTCGGGAGGAGGCGGAGTCCCCGACCGCCTCCTAGCCTTGACTGGCAGCTGCGATGCCCGGGACTGTTGCAGCGGGAGCGTGGGGCACAGCTCGCCAGCAGCGGTAGCAGCGCGTTTATTTATACAGGAAGCTCAGGCGCCGCACTTCCTACTTCCCATGTGGGTCGTACTTCAGCTGCAGGTGTTGGCCTTAACCCTATCCGAACCCGGGCGCGCTGCACCGACTCTACTGCTTGTCAGGACCTGTCTCTTGTTCTCCTGGGACCGCTGTTGCAGGAATTCAGAGCAGGGGGTGCAGGCAGCTGCCCCTAGCGCACTTCTTCTGCCCAGACAGGGACAGCTCACCTCTTGGCCTTAAGCGCCTGCTACCTCTCTGTCTGTACATATCCTCACAGGCCACCTTTCTTTATTTTCTCCCTCCTTCCCAGCTCTTTAAATCTCTTTCTTCTACTTCTAACAGCCCAGACCTGCCTTCCCACGTGGCAGACAACTGTTTTATAGAAACACTTCCCATGCACATCTCATCAAAAAACAGCTTGTACCTCACTTGTCCTTTTGCATCTAATGATGAAATTAGAATACCTGTGAATCAAATCGGGAATAATCTTAGTTTACCTCATAAAATACAGACACTTCTTGATGAAACAATGATTTCACTTGAAGTGCTTTGTAACTTAACTGGTTGTACCCTCAATTAAACAAAAATGTAACAAAATAATCCAGAAGCTGTGAGGTATTATGAAGTGCTTCCTTGCTCCAAACCCTTGGACACTTCATTTGTGTGACATTCATAATGAATCGCATACCTACTCATTCCCCATATCCCCCATAGATCACAATCACCTAAGTCTGCTGAACATTGCCATTTAGGAATGTCGCTCTGACACAAGAATCTGTGTTCACTCTGCAATCCCTCTCTACTTTTGCAACCACTGTCAGGAATGTGCTTCCTAAAAGGAAGGGACTCACAGGCCCTTTGTGGAAAGGATCTGTGCACGCCAACAGGCACCATTCCAAACGACACAAGCAAACATTGCTTCTCAGCCCTCCAAGTTGAAGAAAACCTCTAGGTCAAAGCAAAGTGCTGAATAACACAGTGTATCTACATGTGCCATGCTAGGGCAGGTAGGAGGACCAGCTCACCAGTCAGGGAGGAAGAGAAAAAGGACAGGGGCAATAAGATGATAAAAGAACCCACGGTAGGATATTTGAGCTTGAAAAGTCTTCCTAGCTATTTTAGCAAATAACCTGATTTTAAAAATAAGGAAACTGGGCTGGGTGCGGTGGCTCACATCTGTAATCCCAACACTTTGAGAGGCCAAGGCGGGCAGATCATCTGGGGTCAGGAGTTCAAGACCAGCCTGGCCAACATGGTGAAACCCCGTCTCTACTAAAAATACAAAAAATTAGCTGGGCGTGGTGGTGGGTGCCTATAATCTCAGCTACTCGAGAGGCTGAGGCAGGTGAATCGCTTGAACCTGGGAGGCAGAGGCTGCAGTGAGCCGAGATTGCGCCATTGCACTCCAGCCTGGGTAACAAGAGCGAAACTCTGTCTCAAAAAAAAAAAAAAAATAAGGAAACTGATGTCCAGGAAGATTTAAGAGATTGGCCCAAACCAGACACAGGCCAAGCTAGAATGAGACCTAAATCTGAGTTACATGAGGAAGGTGAATGTAAATGAAAACCATCCCAAAGGAAGTCCAACCTTCAGATTTAGCAATGGCTTAGGTTCTGAGATAATCTATTTCAAGGAATTTTCTTGGTATAGTGACCATTTTGGTGGACAGGAACTAGGAAAGATAAAAAGCAACCTCTAAGAGGTTAGTTTATTCATTGGTGTTGATGCAAATCTCCTGAGCCTTAAACCAAAGTTCAACACAGAGTCCACTTTTCAAATTACCATTCATAAATTATAATCTCTTGTTAACAGGATAAGGGAAGAAGCTGCTGCCAATATGAATGAGAACATAAGCACGAATAGTGCTGCCTATTATCCCAAATATTTTGCACAACTGAGTAACATCACCACTGATTATTTTCAACCATGCAACTATGCAAATTTTTTTTAAATTGCAGTCAAAATTTAATAAGACTAAATAAACACGTTGAATGCTATAATATTATGTGAACAAACTCTCTCAGATCTTCCTAAGGAGTCTACAGTGTGAATGGATATTCATTCTCTGGAGCATTTATTGATTTCCTCCCAGACAATCTGCTAGGTTGTATTAAGATAATGATATTAGACATGGTCTCCCTGTCCTCAAAGACCTCTCAATCCAGGGAAGGAGTAAGACAAGCAAATCAATTATCAGGGTACTGATAGTTGTACCCAATGTGTGAGTGATACATAATGTGTGATATGATAGACTTAAGCATGATGTGCTATTGGGAGCACAGAGAAGAAGAATTTAAAGGAAAGGAGTTGATGAAAAGAATCAAGTCTTCTCTGAGAAGGTGATTATATTAATCTGTTCTCACATTGCTATAAAGAAATAACTGAAACTGGGTAATTTATAAAGAAAAGAAGTTCAATTGGCTCATGGTTCTGCAGCTGCACAGGAAGCATGGCTGGGGAGCCCTCAGGGAGGTTACAATCATGGTAGAAGGTGAAGGGGAAGCAGGCACGCATGTCTTACGTGACTGGAACAGAAGCAAGGCGGGGTGGGGCAGGGAAATGCCACACATGTTTAAACAACTAGGTCTCTCAAGAACTTATTGTCACAAAAAACAGCACCAGGAGATAGTGCTAAACCATTTATGAGAACTCTGTCCCTATGGTCCAATTACCTCCCACCAGGCCCCACCTCCAACATCGGGGATTACAATTCGACCACGAGATTTGGCTGGGGACACAGATCCAAACCATATCAGTGATTTAAATCTATGTCTTCAAGTAGCCCAATAGGTGTGGTAGAGAAGGGTAAACCAGGCTGAGCAAACAGCTAAAACAAAGGGTTAGACATGAGACTCTAGGTGAAATTTTTCATAATTCAGACAGAGCTGATACATCCAGAATAAATGAATGAGGGTCTGAGCTAATGCAGTGACAACTGCCATGCAAAGGAAGGGAACCAATGGAGAGAGATTTCAGAAACAGAAGTGATGGAACTTGGTATCTGATTGGATGTTATATTAGTCCATTCTCACATTGCTATAAAGAAATACCTGAAACTGGGTAACTTATAAAGAAAAGAGATTTAATTGGCTCACAGTACTGCAGGCTTTATAGGCTTTAAGCATGATGCTGGCATCTGTTTGGCCCTCTGGAGAGGCCTGTCACATGGTCAAAGTAGGTGCAAGAGAGCGTTTCGGGGGGAGGGGGGAGGGAGGCGGTGCTACACACCTTTAAACGACCAGCTCTCACAAGAACTCACTATCCCCAGGACAGTACCTAGGGAGATGGTGCTAAACCATTCGTGAGAAATTTGCCCCCACGATGCAATCACCTCCTACCAGGCCCCACCTCCAACAATGAGGATTACATTTCAATATGAGATTTGGGCAGGGACACACATCAAAACTATATCAGATGCAGGGGGATAAGAGAAAAAGAATAGCCCCAACTGCTGGCACCACTAAGAGGGGGAATAAAAGAGAAGTGATGGTAAGGAAACCATGATAATTCAAATTAAGATCTATAGAATCAGAAGTGCCTCTGGGGCATACTGGAAAAACTGACCAGTAGGCTATCAACAGAGAGAGATCTAGGGTGGAGAGTCATTTGGGAATTGCCATCATTTAGGTGGTGGCCATAGATGAGATTACCAAAAGCTAAGACAACCCACATGCTATAGAGGGAAGCAGAGGATTTGGACCTTGGCAAACTCCACTACCCACTCATTATTATGTAACCTTAATGAAGTTATTTAATATACCCGAAACTCAGTTTTCTCATCTATAAAATAAGAATGATGACATTCATCTCATAGGCTGTTGTGAGGGTAAAAGTGGTTTTTTTAAGTAGCTACCAAAGTGCCTGATACACGGAGATGCCTGCACGATACAAATCTTGATGGGCCAGGGTGGTGGTTGGGGTGGAGGCAGTGACTGGCAGCTCCTGGAATTGTGTACTGCACAACCTGCTCAGCTGTACACCATGGTCCTGGCCTGATACACATTAGGAACTCAGTCAGTGTTATTTATCTAAGAAAGGGAAAGGGGAAGGAAAAGAAAGGGTTAAAAAAAGAGAACCCAAAAGAACATCAGTATTTAAAGGGTAGGTAAAAAAAAGGAGCCCTCAAACAAGTCTAAGAAAAAATTGCTTATTTTATACTACAAAAATAAAGGTAGGCCAGGCACAGTGGCTCACGCCTGTAATCCTAGCACTTTGGGAAAATCGCATGGCCTAAGCCCAGGCATTCAAGATTAGCCTGAGCACCTGTGATAGTGAGACCCTGTCTCTACAAACAATAAGAAATACATTAACAAGACATAGCAGCACATACCTGTAGTCCCAGCTACCCAGGAGGCTGAGGCAGGAGGATCACTTGAGCCCAGGAGGTCGAGGCTGCTGTGAGCTGTGATCACACCACTGCACTCCAAGCCTGCGCAACAGAGTGAGACCCTGTCTCAAATAAATAAATAAATACATATATTTTTTAAAAAAATAAGTAAATGTAACATTTCATATTTCAAACTGAAATGTAAAATCCAGACACTACAATCTACAAAAATATTTTTTAACTTTCTGAGCAATGACATATTACAAATTGTTCACCAGAGATTGTGCCTGTAATCCTAGCACTTTGGGAGGCCAAGGCAGGTGAATCATTTGAGGTCAGGAGTTCAAGACCAGCCTGGCCAATGGCTCACGCCTGTAATCCTAGCACTTTGGGAGGCTAAGGCAGGTGAATCATTTGAGGTCAGGCGTTCAAGTCCAGCCTGGCCAACATGGTGAAACCTTATCTCTACTAAAAATACAAAAATTAGCCAGGTATGGTGGCACATGCCTGTAATCCCAGCTACTCAGGAATCTGAGGCAGGAAAATTGTTTGAACCAGGAGGCAGAGGTTGCAGTGAGCCGTGATCACGCACCACTGCACTCCAGCCTGGGCAACAAAGCAAGACTCTGTCTCAAAAAAAAAAAAAAATTGTATTAACTGATAATATACCTAAAGTCATATAAAAGCAAATCAAAATAAATCTAAAACATACTTAAAGTTTTCCCTGCATGTGAGGCCAAAAAATAAATATAATTTACAGATCCTATATATGTGTAAGATACTGAAATAATATGTATCTACTACATAATATATAACATATAATAGGTATATATTATAAAGTGCATTCTACCCCTATATAAGAATCAACAAGTAGAATTTCTTCTTTGGAAAATTATTCTCTTTAATCAATAAAGAAAAGTCTAGAGTTGTTCTTGATATTATCCTTCTATTCTACCTTAGTACCTACGTTAGAAACACATACCTTAGACTTTACATCTTCCTTACATCCTGTGGTTAAAACATAATTTTTTTAATGGTTTGTTCGGTCTCAATAAATCAGCTATAAGAATGCAAGTACTGGGAAACCAGCTTCTGCAATAGATGCAGATCTCTCTCCACAGGAACAGATATAAGGCAAAGGTCATGGTGTTCTGACAGTTTGGTCATTTCTCATTTCCAAACAGCTACAATTTAATTTGCATTTTTCTATTGCATCTAACGGGGTGGATCTTATTCGTTCAGCATTATTGAGTGTTTCACATCTAGAACTAAGCTTAAGATAATACAAAATAAGACTATTACAAAATAGTATGATAGAAACTATGCCAGAGATGTATTCAGGGTAGCACAGCAGTCAAAGAACAGATATCGAACTACATAGAAAGTGAAACTGTGGGCCGGGCACGGTAGCTCATGCCTGTAATCCCAGCACTTTGGGAGGCCAAGGCAGGTGGATCACAAGGTCAGGAGATCGAGACCAGCCTGACCAACATGGTGAAACCCTGTGTCTACTAAAAATACAAAAATTAGCTCGGCATAGTGGCACATGCCTGTAATCCCAGCTACTTGGGAGGCTGAGGCAGGAGAATCACTTGAACCCAGGAGGCAGAGTTTGCAGTGAGCTGAGATTGTGCCACTGCACTCCAACCTGGTGACAGAGCGAGACTCTGTCTCAAAAAAAAAAAAAAAAAAAAAAGAAAGTAAAACTGTGACCAGAGGACATCATCCAGTTACATACACATATATAGGACATACACATATAGGACATACATCCAGTCATGTAGTATGATAACATAAGTTTCACAAAACTTGAGACATGTCATCTTGGTTATATTTCATACTTAACATGAAGTATCTCAACGCTTTACAGAGCAAGTCAAAACCAACTGGGACCCAACAAGAAAAAAACAGAATCATGTCCAACTGCCATTGCCATTATTCCACATGAGAGCCCATAATGACTCAGGATAGAGAGCTGAATGAGAGATCAAGACTCCACGGGATTCTGTCGTCCAGGACTCTCATATCCTATATGACACCACTAGCAAGTTAGGGTTAAGGACCAATGAGATCGTGGAGTTCAGCACCTCACTCTCTCCAGAAAAAAATGATTCTGCACTAGCCCTGAATTAAAATTCTCCACTAGAGAGTCAGAAGAAATTGTCTTGATAATCCTTATGTTTGCAAGGTTTACGGTAATCCTGCTATTACTGTCACCTCCAAATTCCTGCATAAGACAATCAATTTTGGGGGGAAAAAATCCCCAGTGTTCCCATAGTCATCACCACAGCCAATGTATTAACTAGTTTACAGGAAATGAAGCACTTCGTACTGTGCATTTGCATCCAGCATTGACACAGAGGACTGCCCTGAATTAAGATTCAAATTACTTCTTGGCTTAACAGATGGGGAACTCAATTCTTGGAATTCAGACTCCACCCTACAGACACCAAATTAGTCACAGGTAGGAATATTATAGATGTTAACTTTCCAGCAGGACTTTATTTTGAAAGGCACCTTAAAAACTTGTTTTCTCTATGACAGAAATGTCACGTCCTTCTTTTCTCCACCTTCTCCTTTCCCCATCTCCTCCCTCTTCCCGCAAAATAGTGAATCACCAAGTCCCCAATGAAACCAGGAAACCAGACAGAGTTAACAAACACTACCATCTGCAACAGATCAAAGAAACAAAAGTGAAAACATGGAAGCCAGGGATGGATGGAGTATGGAGAGGAGCAGAGAACCACTGCATGGGGAAATAAATGCAGGTACCTCAAGGGGGAGGGACCCTGTCCTGGATCCTACAGGAGACACAATATCCCCTATGCTGGCAAAGTCTATTTCCCTTCTACAGTTACTACTGGGTACCTGCCACCCTCTATACCCTCCATACCTATACCTTGAGAATATGTCTCAAGAGGGTTGGCTGTTGTTTCAATACATCTCCCCACAGCACATGTCACAGGACAGCCCTCGAGAAACATCTCATGCCTTAGTCTGTGCAGCAACAACCACAGACTCTGTGTGCCACCACGTTTACATCTCCAACAAAAAGGAACCTCGGAGAGGTCCTTCTTACATATCAGCAGTCCTAAAATAGATCTTTCTCATTCCCCTGAAAAGGAGTCACATTCAGATTAAACACATGACCGTGGGTTTAAATAAGCAATCATCACAGTCAAGTGACATGTCTTTGCAAAGCACCTTTTTCCAAGGGTCTCGAAAATAACTTTTAAATTCTTATTACGCCTGATCAACAAAACCATGCTAATCTCATGAAAGTCACCATGACCCCAGATGCAAGGAATTATCTCAGAAGGCCAATAGTGAAGAAAAACACCTTGCCCAGGGTCATCTCCACTCCAATGCACAGTCTTTTCCTCCCTCCTCCAGCCCAGCTTCCTGTATTCCTCTTCTGTGGCACGTATAAAGCACTCTCATTGTTTACATGCCCATCTCCTTCAACAGTCCTGCAAGAAGAGTGTCATCATACATATTTTTTTTTTACTTTCTATTCACATCAGCTCCTCACTCACCTATTTTCCTAGGGGGTCTTCTAACCATTTGCATTTTTCTCTGTGCTCCTTCATCAGACTATGTATGATACACACACACACACACACACACACACACACACACACACACACACACACCCCTATCTTAACTCTGTGAACCATCTATTTATTCCCTCTATCCATTTTGTTTTAGTACAGCTTAAATTTTTTCCTGTCAATTTATAAGAGCTCTTTGTAAATTATTGTTAATAGTACTTTTCCTGCAGTATATTTTACAAATACTTTTTCCAGACATAGCTGATGTCTATTGATTTAACATTACTGCTGCCACACAATGGGTTTTGACTGCATATATCTGATATTTATTCCTTTTCTTATATAGTTCCTGGGTTTTCCATCCTTTAAAAGGTTTCCTAAGCTTTAGCTTGTACATGTGTGTTTTTCTGGATTTTCCTGTGAAATGGTAATTTGTTAAATTTGTTTTTCATCCATCAGGGAATTCACTTTGTATCATTTATGATGAGTCCTGTTGTATTTTAACCAGATAGAGAACTACCTATGCCAGAATAATTTGTTAACTCATGATTTTTCCACTGAATTGGACCACAATATGTATCAAATATTATCTGTATTCTGATTTATCTACTCTGAAGCAACTATTTTTGAATCTATTCTGTTCTAATGTTTGTGTATTGCTAAGCCAATACTATCTTGATTACAGTGACTTTATAGCATTCTTATTTTTCATACTTTTCTTGAATAGGGCATTTGACAATATAAAACTTTATAGTCATTTTATGTAATTTTTTAACACTAAGTTGCTATTCTATTCTGAATTGCAAGAACTTTATATTGTTTATTTTTAGAGTTTTATCATATCATTTAAGGGAACACATATCCCCATTTCTTAGTGCCCACTGGTAAAACAGAAGATTTCAATTCATATATTTATCTTGCATCCAGCCATTTTCCCAAATATTTTACCAATTCTACTAGAGTGGCTTTTTAAATTTAGTCTCATGTTTGGTGGTATGTGCACAATCATGTCAGCAACAACAACAAAAAAAGATGCTTTTATTTTTTATTTTCCAGTAAATATATCAAAAACACAACTTTTTGTCTTGTTGCATTTGTTAGAACACCAAAGGTAATGATAAATTTAAAAAAACTGATCATAGGCTTTCCTATCTAGATTCTTATGTAATTGTTTTAATAGTTCATCATTTATAATGAAGTTTGCTAGTTTTTTCACAAACAGTCTTTATTACGTTTAAGTAATTTCCTTCTATTCCTCCTTAAGAGTTTTGTTAGGAATAGTACTTTATTAGGAATAGAACTTCATCAGATGGCTTTCAGAGACTATTGATACAATCAATATTACTAATCTTTTATAGTTTTTATATAATGGACTAAGTGGCTGGATTTTCTGATATGAAACCAATTTCATATTCCTGGAATAATACTTTCTTGATCATATTGTATTATCCTATACTGGTATTCAAGATATGCTGGCTTCATAAAGCAAATTGGGGGAATACTTATTTTTTTCTATAATCTGGGATAGGTTGAATAACATTGTAATTATCTGACTTTTAAAGACAGAATGACCATAAATTTCTCATTCAAACCAGGACACTTTGACAATGAAAGAAGATGCTAATAAATAATGGAAATGATGGAACTTTTAAAATATACACTAATTGACAAAATAATTGGTTTTATTGTATTGTTGGACTAATAAAATAGTTCAAAAATGATCTTCAAAAATAAAACTTTTCTTAAACTTGTTTTTTAAGAGATGGGGTCTCATTCTGTTGCCCAGTCTGAAGTGCAGTGGTGGAATCATATCTTACTGCAGCGTTGAACAATTCTCCAGCCTTAGGACTACAGGCACATGCCACCATGCCCAGCTAATTTTTTAAATTTTTTGTAGAGATGGGGTCCCACTGTATTACCGAGGCTGGTCTCAAGAAATACTCCCACCTCGACCTCCCAAAGCACTGGGATTACAGGCATGAGCCACCACACCCAACCTAAAATATTTTTATATTGATTAATGTTTATATTAAAAACATAACAAGGGGCTGGGGGGCCCATGCCTCTAATCCCAGCACTTTGGAAGCCCGAGGTGGGTGGATCAACTGAGGTCAGGAGTTCAAGACCAGCCTGCCCAACACGGCGAGACCCTATCTCTACTAAAAATACAAAAATTATTCCGGTGTGGTGGTGTGCGCCTGTAATACCAGCTACTTGGGAGACTGAGGCACGAGAATCGCTTGAACCCAGGAGGCGAAGCTTGCAGTGAGCCTAGATGGTGCCACTGCACTCCAGCCTGGGCAACAATGTGAGACTCTGTCTCAAAAAAAAAAGTATATATATATATATATGTATATATATATATATATGTATATATACACACACACGTATATAGATACACATATATATATACACACACATAAAAAATACATATATATATAAAACAAGGTAAATAATTATTCTTGGCACATATTCAGATACTTTCATCAGTTTATCACTAATACTGACTCATTGCTATTTTTATGAAGAATGTTATACTTTCAATATGATATCTTTCATTTTTTAATTGTTATTTTTTAGAGATAGGATCTCCATCTATTGTCCAGGCTGGAGTACAGTAGCAAGATCATAGCTTAGTGCAGCCTCAAACTCCTGGGCTCAAGAGATCCTGCCATCTCAGCCTCTGTAGTAACTAGGACTATGATCACATGCCACCATGTCTGGCTAATTTTTGAATTGTTTTGTTGTTGTTCTTGTTTTGTAAGAAACAAGGTCTCACTACGTTGCCCAGGCTGGTCTTGAACTTCTCCTGGCCTCATGCGGTTCTCTCACTTTGGCCTCTCAAAGTGCTGGGATTACAGGCATGAGCCACTGCCGCCTGGTCAATATCTTTAATTTACTAAATATTCCTGTAATCTTCTTCAAAGGTACATTTCATAGTTAATAAATTTGAAATTGTGACACCTTCAATTGACTCTTTTCTGTAAATAATAATTGTAATTGAGAACATACTCTATCTTCAGTGCTCCAGTATCTAGCAAGCTTGGGGAAAATTATACTAAATATATTATTAATATTCCTATTTTTTAGCCAGACATGGTGGCGCCCACCTGTAATCTTGGGAGTCTGAGGCATGAGAATCGCTTGAACCCAGGAGGCGGAGGTTGCAGTGAGCTGAGATTGCGCCACTGCACTCCAGCCTGGGTGACAGAGTGAGACTCCGTCTCAAAAAAAAAAAAAAAAAAAAAAAAATCTATTTTTATATTGAATTACAGTTGACCCTGAACAACACAGGTTTGAGCTGCATGGGTCCATTTATGTGTGGATTTTCTTCTACCTCTGCCACCCCTGAGACAGCAAGACCAATCTGTCACTCCTCAACCTACTCAACATGAAGACCACAAGAATGAAGACCTTTATGATGATCCACTTCCACTTAATCAATAGTAAATATGTTTTTCTCTTCCCATTTGGGGATTGGAATTTAGCATCCTACAATCCTTTAATTCCTTAATCTTCCATCGTCACTCCAATCCCCAAATCTGGGTCATTTCATCATTCCCATTCTCTGCTCACCTTGCTCCTTTTTCTTTGAGACAGGGTCTCGTTCTGTCACCCAGGCTTGAATGCAGTGGTACCATCTCAGCTCACTGCAGCCTCAAATTCCCAGGCTCAAGTGCTCCTCCTGCCTCAGCCTCCCTAGTAGCTTGGACCCCAAGTGCCACCATCCACCACGCCTAGCTAATTTTTTTTAATTGTTATTTGAAGAGACAGAGTTCTCCCTATGTTGCCCAGGCGAATCTCAAACTCCTGGCCTCAAGTGATCCTCCTGCCTTGGCCTCCCAAAGTACAGGGATTATGGGCATGAGCCACCATGCCTGGCTGAAATTTTTTTTAATACAGAATCCCAGGCCCCACTTCAGACCTACTGAATCAAAATCTCTGGGAGATGTTGATATCTAAAGCTTCCTAGGAAGTTTGTGATGAAGCCAATCCATAGATTGACATTAAGCTTCCACGGGGCTATCCTACTGATTGTACTTTTTTCCAGGACACAATGAAAGGGATTTCTTCACTGAGGGGAAATCTAGGTTGGATGGCCTGCCTTTACAGTGTATTCCAATTGTTTCTTTGTCGTCGACTTGAACCTGAAGCCTGTCAGTGTTGCTTATGCTCCATTTTTGTCTCACTATGGCACTCAGGGCTCAACAATTTCATGCACTTGGAGAGGAGTCCCCTCTCCAAGGATTCCCACCAGGTAGTCCAGAAATGACCACAATGGATGCACATGTGAATCCTGCTCATGGCACCTCTGCCGACATGAAGCACACACCATTTCTTAATTTCCCCACTAATATTGTCAGGCTACTGCTCTTTATCCTCCACGGCCCTCCTGCTTCATTTATAATGACTTTATGTTAGCCAAAATAAATGTTTCTTTACTTCTGCCCTTACAGCAAAAGTAAAAGCCGGAGGAACATGCATCTTTGCCCTGGACTGAATACTTCAATACATTTGTTGCTGCAGTTGGCCTCAGTGGACATAGAGTGCAGCTTATGTCACTGATTTTGAAACATCTCTATGGTCAGTGAAAAAATCAAGCATTACCTCTAGTGATGGCAAGATCCAAAAAGCCAGTTCCAGTAACATCCCTGAGTATGAGTCATATGTCTCATCGATTGATTTACAATAAATCTCCCCAACATGTATCTTGATTAAAAAAACAAAACAAACAAACAAACAACACTTTGGGAGGCCGAGGCAGGTGGATCACGAGGTCAGGAATTCAAGATCAGCATGGCCAAGATGGCGAAACCCCATCTCTACTAAAAATACAAAAATTAGCCAGTCGTGGTGGGGGGCACTTATAATCCCAGCTACTTCGGAGGCTGAGGCAAAGAACTGCTTGAACCCGGGAGGTGGTGGTTGCAGTGAGCCAAGATCGTGCCACTGCACTCCAGCCTGTGCGACAGAGTGAGACACTGTCTCAAAAAAAAAAAAAAAAAAAAAAAAAAAAAATTCCAGGCCAAGCATGGTGGCTCACACCTGTAATCCCAGCTCTTTGGTAAACCAAAGCGGGGGAATTAGTTGAGTCCAGGAGTTCAATGCCAATCTGGGCAACACAGTAAGACCTCGTCACTATAGAAAAAAAAAAAATTCCTTTTCTGCTAATGGAGCAAAACACATTAACAGCTATTACTTCACTTTTTATATATTCATAAGAAAACTTAAAATTGAAAATGGCGAAAATCTATTTAGAAGAGTCATTTGATTTAAATGAAAAGTCATGCTTCACAAAATGAAATAAAATGACACCTCCTGCAGCCCACACGTGTTAAATCATTGTCTTTGGGCAAAGTATTCTTAAAAACAATTACAAACTTTTGAAGTAGACATTGATGCAGCTTCAGTAGATTTGTGAATCACACATTCATCACCAACATCCTTGAGAAACAGAAATTTGCTACTTATTTTTTTATTAAACTTTCACTTTTTTAGCTCATTTCCTGACAAAAGGGACTGTTCCAAAATAAATGTTAAAACAGTAGTTATAGATTTACACCATACAAAAATGGCAAAACCATATACCAAGAGCATTCAGACTTTACACACTTTCAATTGACCCACCAAGTCAGCCTGGCCACTTCCAGCTTTCTGCAGGTCCCTCTGGGGACCATGGTACAACTGACTGGTATACCAAGTAGCTCACAGAGGTAGCAGCATCAAGTACTTCTCCCAGCATCATCTAGACTGGAAGGAGTTGGCTGTCCTCAGCCACCAGGGTAGGAACATATTTCATTTTATCAGCCAGTTCTTGGCATGCTGTTCTTTAAAGGGAGGTGTAAGTTAACTTGCATTGAAAGAGAAATGGGGGGAAAGCAGGGTTATATGCATCACCTTTCAAATTTAAACACAAGTAAAATTACTCTTCACAACACAAGCACCTTACACACCACTAGAAGAGACCACAGCAAAACCCGGTATACAAAGTGGAGAGCCACCATCCCATCTTATTTTAATGCCTTGTTAACATAATACTTCCTTAAAAATAAGAAACTCAGAGCAAATATCAAATGGGACACAAAGAGGCTGGGACTTCTACAGTAATTGATCTTTTTGAGTCTTCTACTTGAATCAATTCTGGTCATTTATATTTTGCTTATGAGTTATTTGTTTCTTCCATATTTTCACATTAGTTTCCATAGTTTTGCTCCTAGTGTGCATGTATACTTTTTTTTTTTTTTTGAGATGGAGTCTCACTCTGTTGCCCAGGCTGGAGTGCAGTGGCGCGATCTTGGCTCACTGCAAGCTCTGCCTACCAGGTTCACGCCATTCTCCTGCCTCAGCCTCCCGAGTAGCTGGGACTACAGGTGCCCGCCACTATGCCCGGCTAATTTTTTTTATTTTTAGCAGAGATGGGGTTTCACCATGTTAGCCAGGATCGTCTCAGTCTCCTGACCTCGTGATACACGTGCCTTGGCCTCCCAAAGTGCTGGGATTACAGGTGTGAGCCACTGCACCTGGCCTTTTTTTTTTTTGAGACGGAGTCTCACTTTGTTGCCCAGGCTGGAATGCAGTGGCGCAATCTCACTCATTGAAAGCTCCGCCTCCCGGGTTCATGCTATTCTCCCGCCTCAGCCTCCCAAGTAGCTGGGACTACAGGTGCCCGCCACCACGCCCGGCTAATTTTGTTTTTGTTTTTGTATTTTTTTAGTAGAGACGGGGTTTCACCGTGTTAGCCAGGAGTGTCCATGTATAATTCTTATAATTCTTCCCATCTTTCATGCATCTGTAATGCATTTGTTTCCTTGTTCCTAATCTTGTTATACTCTTGCTCTTATACTTTTTCCAGTATTTTGTCTTATTTAACTGTCCTACATTTTTTCCTTATTCCATTAATTCTCACTTGTAACTTTATCATCCCTTCTTCCTACCTTGTGTGTATGTTGTTTGTTTTGTTTATGAGGTGTTGGAGGCAGGTACGTGTTTTGCTGTCCTCTTCTTCATGAATAATAAAGATATTTACTGGTATAAATTTTTTTCTAAGTAAAGTTTTGAGTATATGCTATGCCTTAAAGATTTGGGTATAAAGTATACTTTGTTATTCCTCTCCAAAGAACCTTTTGCTTCTCTTATATTTTCTCTTTGATCAAAGGTTTATCTGGGAGAGTGTTTCTTAGTTTTCAAGTAGTTATTTTCTGGTCATATGTTTAGTATTGGTTTCTAATTTAATTGGATTGTGGTGAAGAAATGTGATCTACAAAACCTCTACTTTTATATTTGTTATAGTTTTACTTTATTTTGGCCAAGTAGGTTAATAAGTCTATTTTTCTAGTTATTGGGGTTTGGAAAATTACACATATCCAAAGAAATACTCCCTGAAAAGCCTCATGGTGATGTGGCCAGGCAACCTGCCCTGCCCCCTAAACATTAAATCACAGTAACAATTGCCCCTGTTTCATTGTCCCATTGCAAAATGCATTCTAACTTACAAATCTGGAGCCATTATACCGCTAAGTAGAAAACAAGGCAATTAATTATTTTTAATAGTCAGATGATTATTTTTAATAGCCTGATGATTGTATCACCTTGGAATTTAATCAAGACAAACCAAAGGCATGCAATACTCCTGAGTTATGCCCAGCAATAACTTGGTTTAAGTTTTCATTTTCCAACCTGGCATCTCAATTCCTACTCAGTATTAGTAGCTCAGGCAAACCTGCTGCCCAACCATAAATCCAAAAGAAAACTATCTGTCTCATATATCAGGAAGGCCTCCGCATGATTCATTGAACCCTTGAGGTGAAAGAGATCAGAACTAATTCTTTTTTTTCTCAGCTCACTGCAACCTCTGCCTCTCGGGTTCAAGCGATTCTCCTGCCTCAGCCTCCTGAGAAGCTGGGATTACAGGTGTCTGCCACCATGCCTGGCTAATTTTTTGTAATTTTAGTAGAGACAGGGTTTCACCATGTTGGCCAGGCTGGTCTCAAACTCCTGACCTCAGCTGATCCACCCACCTTGGCCTCCCAAAGTGCTGGGATTACAGGCATGGGCCACCGTGCCTTGCCAGAACTATTTCAAATACAAGAAATCCTGAAATATTTAGTCCCACTGAGGCTTGACGATTCTGTACTCAGATCAGCCTTGGTGATACAGGACTCGTACAATGAACACACTTGAGAGCGGAAATCTTGTTTAAAATCACCAAGGAAATTCCAAACTTCTACAAAAGAATTAGCGGATATTTTAGCAAGGGTACACTTGGAGACAGGATGTTATTTCTTCTGAAAGTTCATAATGATAAAGTGGAAGCTTCCTCAGCTCTCTGGGAGTTTGAGAAAAAAAACATATTATATTACTGAATACCTATTGTATGCCAGGCATGGTACTTGGTACTAAGCATTCTACATACATTATTTCTTTTAATCTTTACAAAAGTAGTCATTATAAAAAAAAAAAAAAAAGCTTATCTACTTATAAGCTGATAAGTATCACATTTTTAAATGGTTAGTAACTGATACAACAGGAAAGCCTCACTGAGGCATAGTATTGGCTATAAAGTTGTCCCACAAAATGGGACATTCACTATTTAACCATTTAGGGTTAAATTGAGACTCCAGTATTTTCACCTCTATGTCAGGAAGAATTACCTTAAAATGTCTAGGGTTTCAGTCTGTGATTTCAGCAAACATTTGTTTCAAACACAAACTGTTATACCCACCCATTTACTTTTTTTTTTTTTCTTTATAGAGACAGGAATCTCATTATGTTACCTAGTTTGGTCTCAAACTCCTGGCCTCAAGTGATCCTCCTGCCTTGACCTCCCAAAAGTGCTGAGATTGCAGGTGTGAGCCATCATGCCCAGCCCATTTACTCTGAGGTAATTGTTACATAATGAATTAAATATTCAAGCTCTTCTAATCAAATGAGCTCATGAAAGCTAATCCCACACCTGACTTTTATTTATACTATTGACCTGAGCATCACAGAGGCAATTCTAACTACTAACCTAAATGATTTTTTAATTGGCACAAAGTTCAAATATACAACCTGCCTGTCATTTCAGAGTCATCTTCTTTTCCTCCATCTTCACTTTGCATTTTGGTTTCAGCCATACTAAATATTTCTAAGTACTCTAAATTTCACATTCACAGATTCCTTGGTTCTCCATTTACCAAGGCCATTCTTCCCTACCTTTTCCACCTGACCAATAGCTCTTCATCCCACCCACACACACACACACACAGAAAAACATGTCATTCAAGGTGTATCTTTTCTGGAATCTCCCTCCTACTCACTTTTCCCCACCATATAGTTAGACACCCTGTTCTAGGCTTCCTGTCTTCTGTAATGCTCTTACTTTCATTGCTCTATTCAACAAACACTTCTAAAGCTCCTATTATCTACAGGTTATTTATTAGGTACTGGGAATACAAAGATAAATAAAACATAAGACTTCAAGTGGTGTCAAAAAAGACAATTAGGCCTGTCAGCTGGTCAGAGTAGCACCGAGTTTCAGGAAGGCACTCAGCATTTTGAGCCCAGCCCTGTAAGACCTGGAGGATTTAGTGGGTAGAAATGTGGGAAGACAATGGAGAGAAGGAGGAAGAAGGGCCTACTGGGCAAAAGGAATTACATGAGCAAAGTCAGAGAGGTGGATAAGAGGTAAGCTTTGTTGATGGCAGAGAACAAGTTTCTCCATCCCAGGCTTTTAATTAAAAAATAAAAATAAAAAAATAAAAACTTTAAAACTCAGGAAGCTGAGGCAGGAGAATTGCTTTAGGCCAGGAGTTCAAGACCAGCTTGGGCAACATAGTGAGACCCCAGGTCTTAAAAAATATTTTTAAAAAAACTTTAAAACAACTTATTTATAAACTTTTTCAAGCTATAATAAAAGCAAAAGATAATCATGGAAAGTAAACCCTAATTTTATTCCTAATTGTTTGTTAATTTCTGGTGCCTTCTAAACCCAAAGAAGCTCATTAATGATATGTTAATAACACATAAATTTCTAATTGTATCAAAAGATAAAAGAAGTATTTTATACTCCTCTGATAAGCACTGTGAATAAAGATAAGCAGTTCAGTCATAACTAGTTTACCCTCACCTCCCTATGTAAAGGTGAGAACAAATCAAAACAAATAAGAGAAACTTTGGTGCAAGGCTCCCAAACCATTCTATCAGGATGAGGGGATCCTTGCCCAGTATCTGTCTTCCTTTTGTAGGACCTAATGCATACACAGGCTGAAGCTCTCATTCTCAGTGGTTATGCTGAAAATAACCAATCCAAAATCCTCTTTTGATGGAAGTAATCCACGTACTGAGACAAAACTTTTGAGAGTGAACAATGTTACTACATAGGGTTAATCCTTAAAAGTATTTTCCAATCTTTTCAACCTGCAATTTTTACACATACTTCTACAGGACCTTGGACAATATATATGTTGCAGCATACACCTGAGGCTATCAAAATGGAGAGAGATAAGAAAGCAGAAATCAGATACCATCATGCCCAAAAGAATGCTGTAAACTTGGATGGCCACCTGCCCAGTTCATGATTATATCAGTTCAACAGTTCAAATGGCTTATGGTGTTCCTTTGATATTACATCAGTTTATGTCTCTTACCAGAAAGTGTGACGGCAATAAATAACCCCAAGTGAGCAGGATGAGGCATTGTGATCCACAGCATGCCCTGAATTAGACTATATTTTATATTTAAAAAATGGCGGCAACAGTAACAACAGCAGCAGCAGCAGCGGCTGCGCGGGTGTTTACGTGGGGTCGCGGGGTCTCCCGCAGCATGGCGGACTATCTGAGCAACTGCTGCACCGGCTACGTGCCTGAGGACGGGCTCATCCCACAGCAGCTCTTCACCAGCGCTGACGGCCTCACCTACAACGACGTCCCGATTCTCCCAGGATTCATAGACTTCATAGCTGATGAGGTGGACCTGACCTCAGTCCTGACCCGGAAGATCACGCTGAAGACGCCGCTGACGCTGATCTCCTCCCCCATGGACACTGTGACAGAGGCCGACATGGCCATTGCGATGGCTCTGATGGGAGGTATTGGTTTCATTCACCACAACTGCACCCCAGAGTTCCAGGCCAAGAGGTGCAGAAGGTCAAGAAGTTTGAACAGGGGGGCTTCATCACAGACCTGGTGGTGCTGAGCCCCTCGCACACTGTGGTTATGTGCTGGAGGCCAAGATGCGGCATGGCTTCTCTGGCATTCCGATGACTGAGACGGACATCATGGGTAGCAAGCTGGTGGGCATCATCACCTCCGCGGACATCAACTTTCTTGCTGAGAAGGATCACAACACCCTCCTCAGTGAGGTGATGATGCCAAGGATCGAGCTGGTGGTGGCTCCAGCAGGCGTGATGTTGAAAGAGGCAAATGAGATCCTGCAGCGTAGCAAGAAAGGGAAGCTGCCTATCGTCAACGATCTCGATGAGCTGGTGGCCATTATCGCCTGCACCGACCTGAAGAAGAACCGAGACTACCCGCTGGCCTCCAAGGATTCCCACGAGCAGCTGCTGTGGGTGTCCTTCTACAGGACCTTGGACAATATATATGTTGCAGCATATACATATATATGCAGCTGTGGGCACTCATGAGGATGGCAAATACTGCCTGGACCTGCTCACCCAGGCGGGCGACGACTTCATAATCTTGGACTCATCCCAAGGGAACTCAAGTGTATCAGATCGCCATAGTGCATTACATCAAACAGAAGTACCCCAACCTCCAGGTGATTGGGGGGAACATAGTGACAGCAGCCCAGGGAAAGAACCTGATTGATGCTGGTGTGGACGGGCTGCGCGTGGGGATGGGCTGCAGCTCCATCTGCATCACCCAGGAAGTGATGGCCTGCGGTCGGCCCCAGGGCACTGCTGTGTACAAGGTGGCCAAGTATGCCCAACGCTTTGGTGTGCCCATCATAGGACCGTGGAGCATGTGGTCAAGGCCCTGGAACTTGGAGCCTCCACAGTGATGATGGGCTGCCTGCTGGCTGCCATCACGGAGGCCCCCTGCAAGTACTTCTCAGACGGGGTGCGGCTTAAGAAGTACTGGGGAGCTGGGCGCGGTGGCTCATGCCTATAATCCCAGCACTTTGGGAGGCTGAGGCAGGCAGATCACCTGAGGTCAGGAGTTCGAGACGAGCCTCAATATGGAGAAACCCCATCTCTACTAAAAATACAAAATTAGCTGGGCATGGTGGTGCATGCCTGTAATCTCAACTACTCTGGAGGCTGAGGCAGGAGAATTGCTTGAACCTGGGGGGCAGAAGTTGCGGTGAGCTGAGATTGTGCCATTGCACTCCAGCCTGGGCAACAAGAACAAAACTCTGTCTCAAAAAAAAAAAAAAACAAAACAAAACAAAAAAAGAAGCACCAGGGCATGGGCTCACTGGATGCCATGGAGAAGAGCAGCAGCAGCCAGAAACAATACTTCAGCGAGGGGGATAAGGTGAAGATCACGCAGGGTGTCTCGTGTTCCATCCAGTACAAAGGTTCCATTTAGAAGTTCATGCCCTACCTCATAGCGGGCATCCAGCATGGCTGCCAGGATATCGGGGCCACAGACTGTCTGTCCTTTGGTCCATGATGTACTCAGGAGGGCTCAAGTTTGAGAAGCAGACCGTGTTGGCCCAGATCGAGGGTGGTGTCCATGGCCTGTGCTCTCACGAGAAGCGGCTGTACTGAGGACAGTGGTGGAGGCCGAGATGGTGGACGGGGCGCACCCCAGTGTCCCCCCTTCAGGCACAGCCTCCCTCCATAACTGAGTGGTCCACAGATTTGCACTACAGGTTCCCCAGCTCCTTTCCAGGGAGAGAGGAGGGGAGGTCCTGAGGGGTCTGCAGCCCCTCCCTGGGTATCCTCTGCTGAGTCAGGACTGCTCCCTGGGCCAGGCTGCCCTGGGAGCACCCCCACACCATCCCCCTAGGCTCTCAGGCCCTGCACCTGCCTCAGGTCTTTCTTGCTGCAGCCTGCTCCAGCCTGGCCCCCACCCCAGGAGCAGGTGGCCCCTCCTGGCTTCTCCTGTAGGGCACCTCCCTGCCCTCAGCCCCCCAGGAAATGGTGCTCTCCTGGCCCTGCCTCTGGTCCTTCCCAGGCTGCTGCCCCCTCAGCCATGTGGCAGTTCTGAGCTCCAGACCTAGGCCAGGGGGAGGTCTCTGACCCCTTCCCTGGCACTGGGCTACCCTTGGGTCCTGTTCCTCAGGCCACTCCCCTGTCCCAGGCCCTGGGGAGGAGGCTATCCTGGTCATGGCCCCCTGCCCATCATTCCTGACTCACCATCATCCGCAGGTGTACCATTCCTGCCCTCTCCTCAGCTGCAGTTGAAGGCTTTAACTCTGCACTCTTTGGGATCACAGTTATGTCACTGTGTATTAAATAATCGGAATAAATCAAGCAGATCTCAAAAAAAAAAATGAAATCACAGGTCAACATTATTAACTCTCTCCAGCAAGGATTGAATAAAAGGCAGTGAGCAAATATACTTAGTTTAGAATAAGTAAATATTTAAGTGGATTAATTACTCCTTGCTCATTATGAACTATTTTGTTATAGAGGAAGGATAGTTCTAATCTCTGAAAATTAAACAACATTATATTAGTTCATTCTCATGCTGCTAATAAAGACATACCCAAGAGTGGGTAATTTATAAAGGAAAGAGGTTTAATGGACTCACAGTTCCGCAGAGCTGGGGAGGCCTCACAATCATGGCAGAAGGCAAAGGAGAAGCAAAGGCACATCTTACATGGTGGCAGACAAGAGAGCTTGGGCAGGGGAACTCCCATTTATAAAATCATCAGGTCTTGTGAGACTTATTCACTACCATGAGAACACTATGGGGGAAACCACCCCATGATTCAATTATCTCTACCTTGCCCTGCCCTTGACACATGGGATTATTACAATTCAAGGTGAGATTTGGGTGGGGGATACAGCCAAACCATATCAAAAATCTATGTTGACTGTGTGGCGCCGTGGTCTAGGCACTTCTTGGACAGCATGTCTCACCTGCGGATGAAACTCCTGTGCAAGAAGATACAAAAGCGGAACCTCAAATTGCGGCAGCAGAACCTAAAGTTGCAGGGGGCCTCAAATCTGACCCTATCAGAAACTCAAAATGGAAATGTGTCTGAAGAAACAATGGGAGGTGGAAAGGTTAAAAAATCAAAACATTCTATGAACATGGGCTTATCAGGAGCTCCAAATGGAGACATGTCTCAAGAAGCAGTGGAAAATATAAAAGTTAAAAAATCTCCCCAGAAATCCACCATATTAATCAATGGAGAAGCAGCAATGCAGTCTCCCAATTCAGAATCAAAAAAGAAAAAGAAGAAGAAAAAGAGAAAAATGCTGAACGATGTTGTGCCTGATACAAAAAAAGCAAAAACTGAAAACAAAGGGGAATCTGAAGAAGAAAGTGCAGAGACTCCTAAAGAAACAGAAAATAATGTGGAGAAGCCAGATAATGATGAAGATGATAGTGAGGTGCCCAGCCTGCCCCTGGGACTGACAGGAGCTTTTGAGGATACTTCATTTGTTTCTCTACATAATCTTGTCAATGAAAACACTCTGAAGGCAATAAAAGAAATGGGTTTTACAAACATGACTGAAATTCAGCACAAAAGTATCAGACCACTTCTGGAAGGCAGGGACTTCTGGCAGCTGCAAAAACAGGCAGTGGTAAAACCCTGGCTTTTCTCATCCCTGCAGTTGAACTCATTGTTAAGTTAAAGTTCATGCCCAGGAATGGAACGGGAGTCATTCTCTCCTACTTGAGAACTAGCCATGCAAACTTTTGGTGTTCTTACGGAGCTAAAGACTTGCCAGGTACATACCTATGGGTTGATAATGGGTGGCAGTAACAGATCTGCTGAAGCACAGAAACTTGCTAATGGGATCAACATCATTGTGGCCACACCACGCTGTCTGCTGGACCATATGCAGAATACCCCAGGGTTTATGTATAAAAACCTGCAGTGTCTGGTTATTGATGAAGCTGATCATATCTTGGATGTTGGGTTTGAAGAGGAATTAAAGCAAGTTATTAAACTTTTGCCAACATGTAGACAGACTATGCTCTTTTCTGCCACCCAAACTCAAAAAGTTGAAGGCCTGGCAAGGATTTCTCTGAAAAAGGAGCCATTGTATTTTGGTGTTGATGATGATAAAGCTAATGCAACAGTGAATGGTCTTGAGCAGGGATATGTTGTTTGTCCTTCCAAAAAGAGATTCCTTCTGCTCTTTACATTCCTTAAGAAGAAACAAAAGAAGAAGCTTATGGCCTTCTTTTCATCTTGTATGTCCGTGAAATACCCCTATGAGTTGCTGAACTACATTGATTTGCCCTACGTGGCCATTCATGGAAAGCAAAAGCAAAATAAGTGTACAACCACATTCTTCCAGTTCTGCAACCCAGATTCAGGAACACTATTGTGTACGGATGTGGCAACAAGAGGACTGGACATTCCTGAAGTTGACTGGATTGTTCAGTATGACCCTCCGGATGACCCTAAGGAATATATTCATTGTGTGGGCAGAACAGCCAGAGGCCTAAATGGGAGAGGGCATGCCCTGCTCATTTTGTGCCCAGAATAATTGGGTTTTCTTCGCTACTTGAAACAATCCAAGGTTCCATTGAGTTTATTAGAATTTTTCTGGTCTAAAATTTCTGACATTAAGTCCCAGCTTGAGAAATTGATTGAAAAGAACTACTTTCTTCGTAAGTCAGCCCAGAAACCATATAAGCCGTACATACAAGCCTATGATTACCATTCTCTGAAACAGATCTTTAATGTTAATAACTTAAATTTGCCTCAAGTTGCTCTGTCATTTGGTTTCAAGGTGACTCCCTTTGTTGATCTGAACATCAACTGCAATGAAGCCAAGCAGAAAAAGCAAGGGGGTGGTGGTGGATTTGGCTACCAGAAAATCAAGAAAATTGAAAAGTCCAAAATCTTTAAATACATTAGCAAGATATCATCCGACAGCAGGCAGTTCTCTCACTGAAGACATGCCTTTCTTTCATCTTGAATAACTTTATCCTAAAATTAATTTTTTCCCCTTGATTTAACAGGATTTTTGTAGCCTTTAGAATTTGGACTTATCTAACAAGAGTATGAATTGAGTTGGGTTCCAAGCATTGAGCACTGTTACTTCTATCAAGCGTCTTTTTCATTTTGGTGATATAAAACAGGCTTTAATTTTCTTGGATGCCCAAGGGAAGAGCAAGGTCTTTCTTGTGATTATATAATATTTTAATTTTAAATATCCCTCCCTCATACATATAAATGTATGTTACTGATTTAATATAATTCTTTTTGTACCTTTAAAAAAATCTATGTTAATACAGCACTATTATCTCATCTGAATACTTTCACAAATGTCATTTCATTTAATACTTACAACAACCCTTCAGTTGAGGTTTTATCACTCCCATTTTACAGATGGGGAAACAGCATTGAAAGACGAACTGACTTTCCCAAGGTCACACAGTTACTGGCACAATGTACACTAGAAGCCAATGACCAAGTCAGGTGAGTTTCAGCTAGAGCAAGCTTGTACAGCCTGCAGCCCTGTGACCCAAGATGGTTTTGAATGCAGCCTAACACAAATTTGTAAACTTTCTTAAAACATTATACAATTTTTTTTGCAATTTTTTTTAGCTCATTGGCTGTCATTAATGTTAGTGTATTTTATGTGTGGCCCAAGAAAATTCTTCTTCTTCCAATGTGGCCCAGGGAAGCCAAAAGATTGGACACCCCTGAACTAGAGCACCCTTGCTTCCCAAATAAAACCATAGGTAAAATCAAGCTCCCCTTTTTTCTCATGTCAGGATCTTTTTTGGAAAGAGGACAAAAACAAGTTAATGCAAAACTTTTAGTTCTATTTTTAAACATCTGCTTGGGGCAAAAGGCCAGGTGTTCTGCCAAAACAAATTAGATAATATTCTTATACTGGCAGACTCTCAATCTTGACCAAGAAGAAAAATATCCAACATAATATATATTGAGAAAAGAGTCCAGCAACTCTGAGTACACTGAATTCTCAGCCTTGGCCTTCTGCAAGAAGGAAGAGGCAAGTTTCCCGTATGAGAGAACAGTCAAGGAGTATGACTCAAGGACTATTTCAGTACAAGATCTTATTTCAACCCTGTTGTCCATCTGTTTGCTGAGAATGTAAAGTTGTCTGGTTCCAAGTCAGAAAAGAGGATGAAATCATCTACTAAAGCCACATAAACAGGAGCCCCACAAAGGCACGCTGTGATTACACTACATAGCCATGCAGTGAGAAGCCAGTGCACACCTTCTATTATCTGGCTGGATCTGTGCAGTCATGGTGCCTTATCCCAGGGAGGCAAGTTCAGGGACCCAGCTAAACAAATGATGAATGCTGTAAAATTTATTCTCTATTTACTGCAGGTTAATGGAGAAGAAAGATAGGCACAGCGCAGTGGCTCACACCTGTAATCCCAGCACTTTGGGAGGCCAAGGTGGCAGAATCACTTGAGCCCAGAAGTTCAAGACCAACCTGGCCAATATAGGGAGACCTCGTTTTTACAAATAATCAAAATATTAGCTGGGTGTGGAGACATGCATCTGTTGTTCCAGCTACCTGGGAGGCTGAAGCCGGAGGATCACTTGAGCCTGAGAGGTTGAGGCTGCAGTAAGCCATGATCACACCACTGCACTCCAGCCTGGGTGACAGAGTGAGACCCTGTCTCAAAACAAACAAACAAATAAGTAAGATAAAAAAAAATAATGGGGGGGGGGGGGCGGGAAGAGCAACTCAAAGAATTGCATACAAAAAATAGTTAATATTTTAAATGTAGACATTGACTACATGCAATATCTATTTATCAACAATTGCAGCCAGCCATTCTTTCCACCCTATTCCTCTTCACCAGCCTCCTCTTTTTTTGAGCATCACTAAGGTCATAAAACTCACTACTTTCTACTCAGTCCTATCCTTCTTTTTGTACCATCTACTGCCACTACATCTTTCAATACCTGGAGCCCACATCCATCATCCACTTACATACCTCTATGTTGTCCCCCTACCTCCTCTACAGTAAGAGGAAAACAGAGGTTCCAGGGAGTACCAAACTTTAGAGAAGCTTAGGGGAATGAGTATCTAGAAAGCTAATGAATTCAGGCTATTGACCAGAAGAGTTCAGACTCTAATTTTAAGGGTAAGGTAAATTTCGAGGTCATAATTCAAGGTCAAATCAGCTATATTGTAGGCCAAATTATTATTTGCAGTTTGGCTAGAAACCTAAAGCAGCAAGTACAGTATTGTATCCAAAATAAAATAAGTTCCAAGTTCTAAACAACTAGAACGCTAAACATTTAGGAACCCTAAACATTCGTAAGTTTGGGACCACCTACAAAAAATGTAACAATAATTTTTTCCTCTTGAGTTTCCTTTTCTTTACAGCTGTAGAAGAAAACAGAAAGTATACATGTATGTAACTGGGTGTTGAGATTTGACCCCCTTCCATTGGAGCTACTTCAATTGAGAAAAGAGTTGGTGACCACCATTTGTTCCTAAGAGCCCTCGTGAATTTATTCTTCTCAGTGTGCCCAATGAGAAAAAGTGGACCAACTTCTGGATAAGTAGTGACAACTGGGAAAAGGACTCTCAACATTATCATAGAGAATAAGCACAACAAGTTTGGGGAGGGGTTTATATTGGCAAAGGGAGTCAGTTGGAGCTGTAGCCCAAGTGAAAAGTTGAGCTCCAAAGAAAGTGGGTGATTTCTTTTGAGCAGATACTCTAACTGTATTCCTATATGAGACAGGTGGGGTGGGGTGGGGGAAAATCAGGCTATAAGGAATGAGATTGTGGAAACAATGAGGATGTGTTTCAAAAGAAGAAAATCACTGACATGTCAGCATATTGGCCACACCTGTCCTAGTCTTATTTGCTCTTCAAAGAGCTATAATCATGGGTCAAACAGGAAAGGAAACTATTAGACTTCTCCATGTAACAGAGTACACAGAATAGGCTGCAGCCATACCAGATGAGTGAGAAAAGACTAGAGTCACACATTCCTACCAGTCAAAACTGGTGCCATGAGTGGCAGCCATGTCTGGTTTATGTAATTCTGCCTTCTTGGCTAAAAGCTGATTGGACTCACGATGGATGTCTGTTGAAAGGAGAGCCAGCCAGGTGCAGTGGCTCATGCCTGTAACCCCAACACTTTAGGAGGCTAAGACAGGATGATTGCTTGAGGCCAGGAGTTAGAGACCAGCCTGGGCAACAGAGCAAGACCTTGAAAAAAAAAAAAAAAAGGAAAGAATGAAAGAAAGAATGAAGGGAAGGGAGGCAGGAAGGAAGGAAGGAAGGGAGGAAAAAAAGGAAAAAGAAAAGAGAAAAGAAAAGAATTAGCTGGGCTAAATTAGCTGGTGGCATGTGCCTGTAGTCCCAGCTATAATACTTAGGAGGCTGAGACAGGAGGGTCACTTGAACCCAGGAGGTCAACACTGTAGTGAGCCATGATGGTGCCACTGCACTCCAGCCTGGGTGACAAAGCAAGGCCCTGTCTTAAAAATAAATAAAAATACAAATGAAGCAGAGTCAATCAGATTTTCCCTACTAGGAATTTGGATTTAGGGACAGCTCATCTCTGTGCCTGGTCAAAGCTGTGCAGCACCCATATTCTGTCATCTACACAAGCAGCAGAGAAAACTACAGACAGAACATAAAGCAGATGTGCAAGACAGGAGGGAAGAGTCAGAGGAACAGAACTCTAGCTAAACAGTTCTCAGTTCCAGTTCCTCCTAGAAGCCAGCTGGAGTCCTATCTTTAGGTTCCTCAAGAGACTCCTTGTCTTTAAAACAACTTTTCCTTTTTTAAAAAAGTAGTTCAAATTTATTTCAGTTATTTGAAACTAGACACACCTGGAGTAAAACCACATTACCAAAAATTAAAAGATGATTCTGCAATGAAAAGAGCATAGACTTTTGAATCTACCAATGCTGGGTTCACATCATGGCTCCCCTGAATATCAGCTGTCTAGTCCAGAGTAAGGACATAAAACTCACTACTAGTTTCACAGCCTGTCTGATCCTAGGTTTCCTTACTAGAAAATGCAGATAATGAAACATCCCTGTCTGACAGCTTTGAAAAGAGTTGTAGTTCTCCCAGCATGGAGTTTGAGATCTGAGAACGGACAGACTGCCTCCTCAAGTGGGCCCCTGACCCCTGAGTAGGCTAACAGGGAGACACCTCCCAGTAGGGGCCGACTGACACCTCATACAGCTGGGTGCCACTCTGAGATGAGGCTTCCAGAGGAAGGATCAGGCAGCAACATCTGCCGTTCTAAAATATTTGCTGTTCTGCAGCCTCCGCTGGTGATACCCAAGCAAACAGGGTCTGGAGTGGACCTCCAGCAAACTCCAACAGACCTGCAGCTGAGGGTCCTGACTGTTAGAAGGAAAACTAACAAACAGAAAGGACATCCACACCAAAACCCCATCTGTACGTCACCATCATCAAAGACCAAAGGTAGATAAAAGCACAAAGATGGGGAGAAACCAGAGAAGAAAAGCTGAAAATTCTAAAAATCAGAGCACCTCTTCTCCTCCAAAGGAACACAGCCCCTTGCCAGCAACGGAACAAAGCTGCACGGACAATGACTTTGATGAGTTGAGAGAAGAAGGCTTCTGACGATCAGTATAACAAACTTCTCCGAGCTAAAGGAAGATGTTCAAACCTATAGCAAAGAAGCTAAAAACCTTGAAAAAAGATTAGATGAATGGCTAAATACAATAAACACTGTAGAGAAGTCCTTAAATGACCTGATGGCACTGAAAACCATGGCATGAGAACTACGTGACGCATGCACAAGTTTCCATAGCTGATTTGATCAAGTGGAAGAAAGGGTATCAGTGATTGAAGAGCAAATGAGTGAAATGAAGCAAGAAGAGAAGTTTAGAGAAAAAAGAGTAAAAAGAAATGAACAAAGTATCCAAGAAATATGGGACTATGTGAAAAGACCAAATCTACATCTGATTGGTGTACCTGAAAGTGACGGGGAGAATGGAAACAAGTTGGAAAACACTCTTCAGGATATTATCCAGGAGAACTTCCCCAACCTAGGAAGGCAGGCCAACATTCAAATTCAGGAAATACAGAGAACACCACAAAAATACTCCTTGAGAAGAGCAACTCCAAGACACATAATTGTCAGATTCACCAAAGTTGAAATGAAGGAAAAAATGTTAAGGGCAGCCAGAGTGAAAGGTCGGGCTACCCAAAAAGGGAAGCCCATCAGACTAACAGTGGATCTCTTGGCACAAACCCTACAAGCCAGAAGAGAGTGAGGGCCAATATTCAACATTCTTAAAGAAAAGAATTTTCAACTCAGAATTTCATATCCAGCCAAACTAAGCTTCATAAGTGATGGAGAAATAAAATCCTTTACAGACAAACAAATGCTGAGAGATTTTGTCACCACCAGGCCTGCCTTACAAGAGCTCCTAAAGGAAGCACTAAACATGGAAAGGAACAACCGGTACCAGCCACTGCAAAAACATGCCAAATTGTAAAGACCATCGATGCTAGGAAGAAACTGCATCAACTAACGAGCAAAATAACCAGCTAACATCATAATGACAGGATCAAATTCACACATAACAATATTAACCTTAAATGTAAATGGGCTAAATTCTCCAATTAAAAGACACAGACTGGCAAACTGGATAAAGAGTCAAGACCCATCAGTGTGCTGTATTCAGGAGACCCATCTCACGTGCAGAGACACACATTGGCTCAAAATAAAGGGATGGAGGAAGATCTACCAAGCCAATGGAAAACAAAAAAAAACAGGGGTTGCAATCCTAGTCTCTGATAAAACAGACTTTAAACCAACAAAGATCAAAAGAGACAAAGAAGGCCATTACATAATGGTAAGGGGATCAATTCAACAAGAAGCACTAACTATCCTAAATATATATGCACCCAATACAAGAGTATGCACATTCATAAAGCAAGTCCTTAAAGACCTACAAAGAGACTTAGACTCCCACACAATAATAATGGGAGACTTTAACACCCCACTGTCAACATTAGACAGATCAATGAGACAGAAAGTTAACAAAGATATCCAGGAATTGAACTCAGCTCTGCACCAAGCGGACCTAATACACATCTACAGAACTCTCCACCCCAAATCAACAGAATATACATTCTTCTCAGCACCACACCACACTTATTCCAAAATTGACCACATAGTTGGAAGTAAAGCACTCCTCAGCAAATGTAAAAGAATAGAAATTATAACAAACTCTCTCTCATACCACAGTGCAATCAAACTAGAACTCAGGATTAAGAAACTCACTCAAAACCGCTCAACTACGTGAAACTGAACAACCTGCTCCTGAATGACTACTGGGCACATAACGAAATGAAGGCAGAAATAAAGATGTTATTTGAAACCAATGAGAACAAAGACACAACATACCAGAATCTCTGGGACACATTTAAAGCAGTGTGTAGAGGGAAATTTATAGCACTAAATGCCCACAAGAGAAAGCAGGAAAGATCTAAAATTGACACCCTAACATCACAATTAAAAGAACTAGAGAAGCAAGAGCAAACACATTCAAAAGCCAGCAGAAGGCAAGAAATAACTAAGATCAGAGCAGAACCAAAGGAGATAGAGACACAAAAAACCCTTCAAAAAATCAATGAATTCAGGAGCTGGTTTTTTGAAAAGATCAATAAAACTGATAGACTGCTAGCAAGACTAATAAAGAAGAAAAGAGAGAAGAATCAAATAGACGAAATAAAAAATGATAAAGGGGATATCACCACCAATCCCACAGAAATACAAACTACCATCAGAGAATACTATAAACACCTCTATGCAAATAAACTAGAAAATCTAGATGAAATGGATAAATTCCTGGACACATACACCCTCCCAAGACTAAACCAGGAAGAAGCTGAATCTGTGAACAGACCAATAACAGGTTCTGAAATTGAGGCAATAATTAATAGCCTACCCACCAAAAAAAGTCCAGGACCAGATGGATTCACAGCTGAAGTCTACCAGAGGTACAAAGAGGAGCTGGTACCATTCCTTCTGAAACTATTCCAATCAATAGAAAAAGAAGGAGTCCTCCCTAATTCATTTTATGAGGCCAACATCATCCTGATACCAAAGCCTGGCAGAGACACAACAAAAAAAGAGAAGTTTAGACCAATATCCCTGATGAACATCGATGCAAAAATCCTCAATAAAATACAGACAAACCGAATCCAGCAGCACATCAAAAAGCTTATCCACCACGATCAAGTTGGCTTCATCCCTGGGATGCAAGGCTGGTTCAACATACACAAATCAATAAATGTAATCCATCATATAAACAGAACCAAAGACAAAAACCACATGATTATCTCAATAGATGCAGAAAAGGCCTTCAACAAAATTCAACAACACTTCATGCTAAAAACTCAATAAACTAGGTATTGATGTGACATATCTCAAAATAATAAGAGCTATTTATGACAAAACCCACAGCCAATATCATACTGAATGGGCAAAAACTGGAAGCATTCCCTTTGAAAACTGGCACAAGACAGTTTTCTCACCACTCCTATTCAACATAGTGTTGGAAGTTCTGGCCAGGGCAGTCAGCCAAGAGAAAGAAATAAAGGGTATTCAATTAGGAAAAGAGGAAGTCAAATTGTCCCTGTTTGCAGATGACATGATTGTATATTTAGAAAACCCCATCGTCTCAGCCCAAAATCTCCTTAAACTGATAAGCAACTTCAGCAAAGTCTCAGGATACAAAATCAATGTGCAAAAATCACAAGCATTCCCAAATACCAATAACAGAGAGCCAAATCATGAGTGAACTCTCATTCATAATTGCTTCAAAGAGAATAAAATACCTAGGAATCCAACTTAAAGGGATGTGAAGGACCTCTTCAAGAAGAACTACAAACCACTGCTCAACAAAATAAAAGAGGACACAAACAAATGGAAGAACATTCCATGGTCATGGATAGAAAGAATCAGTATCTTGAAAATGGCCATACTGCCCAAGGTAATTTATAGATTCAATGCCATCCCCATCAACCTACCAATGACTTTCTTCATAGAATTGGAAAAAAACTACTTTAAAGTTCATATGGAACCAAAAAAGCGCCCGCATTGCCAAGACAATCCTAAGCAAAAACAACAAAGCTGGAGGCATCATGCTACCTGACTTCAACCTATACTACAAGGCTGCAGTAACCAAAACAGCATGGTACTGGTACCAAAACAGAGATATAGACCAATGGAACAGAACAGAGGCCTCAGAAATAATACCACACATCTTCAACCATATGATCTTTGACAAACCTGACAGAAACAAGAAATGGGGAAAGGATTCCCTATTTAATAAACGGTGCTGGGAAAACTGGCTAGCCATATATAGAAAGCTGAAACTGGATCCCTTCCTTACACCTTATACACAAATTAATTCAAGATGGATTAAAGACTTAAATGTTAGACCTAAAACCATAAAAACCCTAGAAGAAAACCTAGGCAATACCATTCAGGCCATAGCCATGGGCAAGGACTTCATGACTGAAACACCAAAAGCAATGGCAACAAAAGCCAAAATTGACAAATAGGATCTAATTAAACTAAAGAGATTCTGCACAGCAAAAGAAACTACCATCAGAGTGAACAGGCAACCTACAGAATGGGAGAAAATTTTTGCAATCTACCCATGTGACAAAGGGCTAATATCCAGAATCTACAAAGAACTTAAACAAATTTACAAGAAAAAATCAAACAACACCATCAAAAAGTGGGCAAAGGATATGAACAGACACTTCTCAAAAGAAGACATGTATGTAGCCAACAGACACATGAAAAAATGCTCATCATCACTGGCCATCAGAGATATGCAAATCAAAACCACAATGAGACACCATCTCACACCAGTTAGAATGGCGATCATTAAAAAGTCAGGAAACAACAGGTGCTGGAGAGGATGTGGAGAAATAGGAACACTTTTACACTATTGGTGGGACTGTAAACTATTACAACCATTGTGGAAGACAGTGTGGCGATTCCTCAAGGATCTAGAACCAGAAATACCATTTTACCCAGCCATCCCATTACTGGGCATATACCCAAAGGATTATAAATCATGCTGCTATAAAGACACATGCACGCGTATGTTTACTGCAGCAATATTCACAATAGCAAAGACTTGGAACCAACTCAAATGTCCATCAGTGATAGACTGGATTAAGAAAATGTGGCACATATACACCATGGAATACTATGCAGCCACAAAAAATGATGAGTTCATGTCCTTTGTAGGGACATGGATGAAGCTAGAAACCATCATTCTGAGCAAACTGTCGCAAGGACAGAAAACCAAACACCGCATATTCTCACTCATAGGTGGGAATTGAACAATGAGAACACTTGGACACAGGGTGGGGAACATCACACACTGGGGCCTGTCGTGGGGTGGGGAGAGGGGGGAGGGATAGCATTAGGAGATATACCTAATATAAACGACGAGTTAACGGGTGCAGCACACCAACATGGCACTTGTATACATATGTAACAAACCTGCACATTGTGCACATGTACCCTAGAACTTAAAGTATATTTAAAAAAAAAAAAGAAAGGAAATGCAGATAACAACTGTCATATATAGTTGCTGTGAAAATCAGAAAAACATATGTACAGCATCTGGCACATAATAAACATGAAGTATAGCTTCTAGAACAATTCACTGGAGTAGTAATCATGGTGGCAGTAGTGGTATTGCTTTGGCCATCTTGATAGGAGGGCTACATAAAAAAAAAAACAGAACTTATGAATACACAAAGATGTTTTTCTTCAATTTCTTACTTCACAAAATAACTCAACCCAAGTTTCCTTAGTGAGTTAACCTAGCATATTCAAAGTATGGTTTGACTTACAAATTTTTTTAATGTATCATCTGCAACAGATGACTTCTGTAATTTGGGGAAAAGTCCTAGGGAAATCCCGGTACAGGATCACTTCATCAGTTCATCTCCCTCCTCCATCAGTTTATACATTAGAACAATGGTTCTAATTCTTGTGGCAACCATAGGCCCCTTTGAGAACATGATCAAACCGTGAGCTTTCATTTCAAAAGATTCACATATACATATGAAGTTTTGCACATTTTCTGGTGTGCATGGTCCTACTGAACCACATCTCTGAATCCCCAAGGACTGAACAGTCTGATCTATTTCTTTTCTTGGCATTTCTTCACATTCTCTAAATCTCAGAATGTGCCCCTGGGTGTGGCCCACAGACAAGAAATAACCTGCCTTAACACCCCCACTGCCACTCAGACTAACATCCTGTGTTGCTAAAACACAACATGGCAGGTCCCTGCTTGTCTGGGAGTAGGACCTGGGTATTCCCAAGGTAGTCTTTACGTATTTACTATGCTTACTCCAGCACTTACACTGCTGTATTGTAATCATTGGCTTACTCACACGTCTCTCATACAAAACTGGAGGGCAGAAAATGTGTGTCTTTTCTAAGATTATGCTTCATATAGAAAGTATTCAATAAATATAACTATAAATAAGCATATAATATTTTGTAAATACAAACTATGATTTATAATCATCTTTCACTCAATAAATAATACATTCAAGACAGCATGCAGGCAATAAAAGTGTTTGGGTCTACTTTAGAACATCCCTCAAAAAGGTAACTCAGCTGGTCTTGGTCACTTATAATCCTAGCACTTTGAGAGCCTGAGGTGGGAGAATTGCTTGAGGGCAGGAGTTCAATACCAGCCTGGGCAACATAATGAGACCTCCATATCTACAAAACATAAAAGGTTAGCCAGGCATGATTGTGAGCAACTGTGACCCCGGCTACTAAAGAGGCTGAGGAAGGATCACTTGAACCCAGGATGTTGAGGCTGCAGTGAGCTATTTTCACACCACTCCACCCCATCCTGGGTAATACAGCAAGACCTTGTCTCAAAAATAAAAAATAAAAATTAAAAAAGCAATTCAATCTACAACAACCCAATCCAGGCTGAAGGAAGTTTCTGGATAGTCAATTCTAAAGAATTAAATTGTCTAGAAATGGAGTACTATACAATTACAACTTCTGTTCTTCTGTGATTCTGCTTAAGACATTTCTAAAATATACACAACCACACACACAAACATGTAACCACACACATATACACACCACAAATAAGTTCCAGATGTTCACGGGATTGTCTTGCATCACAATCATCCAAAATATATTTGCTTACTGCCTTTCGCGTATGTGCAGCATAGTGGTGGAGATGAGGGCGAGAATTAGGATGCAGAAGCATCTCAAGACACATGTTCTGTCCTCAATCAGATATTGAATGAATAAACCAAAATACAAACTTGAAACTAGTTACAAATAGATACCAAACCCTAGTCTCACCTCTATTTAATTACTGCCTTATTCTCTAGCAAGCAGACTCAGAAAAAAAAAAAAAATACTGCCTTAAGTGATTGATGGATAATCTAGACACCACTTTCTTACCCAAACTTAGCCTTTTATTCATTCATTCAACAAATATTAAGTAAATTCTTATTATGCGCCAGTCATAGTGCTAGACCCTAAGGGATACCAAGGTAAACAAGAAAGCTAGGGTGCCCGGCCAAACAAAGGAAGAACTGCCCTTCTTTTCAGCAGGAAAGACAAATTTTTTAAAACCAATAATAATAAAGTATGATAGGCATGTGTGCTAAAGGCTGCACATGTGCTGTGAAAGCACTTTGCTGGAGCTCAAACTTAGTCTAATCTAGAGCACTGGTTTCAGAGCGTGGTTCCCAGATAGCAGTACCATTATTACCAGGTGACAGGGATTAACAAGCCCTCTAGGTGACTCTGATTCACACCCTATCGGAGAGCAATTAAATTGGATCATTGATTTAAAAAAAAAAAACAAAAAACTTTCCCAGCTAATTCTAATTTGGAGCCAAGAATTGACAACCACTGGCCCGCAAACTGACATTTAAGCTGACACCTGGATGACCAGGTATCAAAAAATAAAGAGTTTCAACACAGAGATAACTGCATATTTAAAGGGCATTGGGCAGGTGCGTTTGAAGAGTTTAAAAAATTCAATAGGGCTAGATTGTAGAAAGGTTGAGGAAGAGTGTTTTGAGACTAGGGTGAAGGGATTGGCCAGATAATAAAGAAGGAATTTGTAAATTTGAGAGTTGAACCAAGGGACCATGAGCAGCTTTTTTAGGCAACCTGACATTACCAGATCTGTATTTTTTTTTTTAAATCATCATCCTGGCTGCAGTGAAGAAACTGGTTGAACGGAAGCAAAATTTAATGCAAGTGCTTCCAGGTGAGAGCCTGTTACAGTACAGGTGAGAGATGAGCAGATGGTAGCAATGAGTTTGGAGAGAAGTGAACAGCTTCACACATTACTTATGAGAAAACTGCTCTCTTAAGCAATACGCAGGATGCTTCCCTTTTCAATGATTCGTGGGGAATCTGTAGAATGTTGAAGATGTGGGGGAACTCAACAGTTACTTCCTTGTTTCTGATCAAAGCAATTGGGTGGTTTTGGAGGGAAAAACCCAAATCCAGACTTAAGCATGTTGAATTTTAGATAAAATGTATAGTGTAAATGTCTAGTAGGCTTTTTGACACCAAGTCTGTAAAAATACTGATTTAGAAGTAGTCTGCTTATTTATGGTTATTGAAGCCATAAATGTGATTTAATCTATGAGAGTAATACAAGTTTGAGGTGAAGAAAGCTTAGAACCTATCCTCTTAGGAACAATAATGAAAAAAGAAGAAAGAAATAGAAAAGAATTTCTGGTTTTTTGAGATGGGGTTTTGCTCTGTCGCCCAGGCTGGAATGCAATGGCATGAAAATGGCTCACTGCCAGCCTCCACTTCCCAGGCTTAAGCAATCCTCCCACCTCAGCCCTCAGAGTAGGTGGGACTACAGGCACATGCCACCACACTGGCTAATTTGTTTTGTAGAGACAGGGCCTCCCTATGCTGGCCAGGCTGGTTTCAAGCAGTCCACCCGCCTTGGCCTCCCGAAGTGCTAGGATTACAGGCATGAGCCACCGTGCCCAGCCCCAAAAAAGCATTTTTTAAAGGAATGGCCAGAGCAGTAAGAGGAAAAGCAAGTGAGCAAGTGGGTGTCATACATGAAAGCCAAGTGAAGAGAAAGCTCCAAGAGGAAAAAAGAGGACCACAGAGTGGAACAGTGGTGAAAGTTCAAGAAAGAACAGACCAAAAGGGTCCATTGGATTAGGAATGTTAGAGGTCAACACTGACAAGAGAAGTTTCAAGAAGTGGAAGAGATGAACACCAGCTTGGAAAGTGCTGAAAAGTGATCTGGAGATAAGAAAATGAAGATGACTAGTAGGCAACATGGTCAAGAAATTTGATTCTAAAGATGAAGAAATCAATGGGAACCTAGAGAGGGACGTGGAAATAAATGAATACTCTTTTTAATGAATATTTAAGAGCAAAATAAAAGGCAGAGAGAGAGAGAAGATACTTGAGAGAGCTGGGATAAATTACAGTACGAGGACATTGAAAAAGAGGGAACGGATTGGACCGTGAGTCCAAGAGTACAATTCTCATGACTTAACCTAAGGAACAATATTCCTGAGGTAAAAGACTCACAGGTGAGACTTTGTAGTGGGGCACACACTCCTGTTTTCACTTTCTCTAAGTGTTTTCATTAGGAGAGTGATGAAAAACCCTGGGATATTTGTAAATACTGTTGTCATACTTATCATGGGAGCTGCTGAGAATGAGTCTAATCTGGAGCTGTGGTGTAATGAGGAACATATTTGGTCTATGTCCCCAGGTCCTGGCACAGAACTCCAAACACTTTTGGAATTTTTTGAATAGTTACAGGAGCATATAAGCTCCTAGGTAGCTTCAGGATGGGGGCTGGTGGCCAGAAAGACCAAGCCTTATGTCTCAGAAAACCACCCCCCACCCCCAATCCCAGGCAAACTGGAACAACTGGTCACACTAAATCTGGCTCAAAATGTAGCTCCTTTGAAATTAAGAGAGGCTGTGTCCACCTTAAGTTCTAAGTCTTAGAGTTTTCCCCTTACTGAGTAAAGCAGTAATCCTTTTTATTCCTTTCATGGAACCAGTAAGAGGCAGTGCTAATGACACAATTCATTTGTTCTATTTCCAATCTCATTTTCTAAGAACCTGGAATGTCATGCAGTACATGTCCAGCTTATTGATGTGTTGAAATTTTTTGCCTTTTTAGGAAACTTAAGTTGTTATCCAGTGCAAAGTACAAAACATAATTGAATTTGCAATGGCAAGAAAATATTTTATTCAGCCCTTAATCATTCAAAATTTTGTCTGTTTTGCAAACTGGATAGACTCCAAAGGAATAAATTATATGAGATGCATGAACACTCAAACATGAAAACAATTGTGTATTTTAATTAGAGTAGACAACATTAGATATATACCTGTGGTTAGGCTACTAATAATAATGATTGTTGAAGGACAGGGAGGAACCAGAGCAATTTAAATAAAAGAACAGAATTAAATTGATAGAGTGCAAAACAAGATGATCTTATAGCAAACTGCACCACAAATTAGCAATCTCGAAAGGAGAAAATGTTATGTACGAAAGTTGGTGCTTTTCACGAGTTACATTTAAAACCTTTCAGAAGTAGTTGTTACTGTAAAATATTAATGAAGTGAGTTCCCCCCCATTCTTTCTCCACAGCCATAGACACATACAGTTCTGCAAACTCTCACACACATCACCAGTCATTTGAAATGATTTGGGTCTTCTTAATAGGAAATCATGCCAACATATCAAAGACACTGAAGCGAAGGGTGAATGTCCATACTGCTGGAGCACATGGTAAGACTTCAGCGCCTGGGCCGCTTCCCAAGTTCTGCCCCTCACAGTGTGCCCCACCACAGCCTACCCTCCGGCTCCTTTCCATTTCATCTGCCTTTCCCCATTAATACCATGAGCTAGTGCTATTCATGAATATGAGACATTGATCCATAAATCACAATCTTTATAGTATGCATTCTAAAATAAAATTAAAGGTTAGTATTCTAAGACTTTGAAAAAAGGGTTGCAACTAACAGAACCTATAAAACACTCTAGGGAAGGGAGAAATCACTGTCAAGTAGACAGAATTGATAGCCTGGGAAATCAGGTTGGGTTTTTATCCCCCACTGATTCTCCCCAGCTACCCGTGCATTAAATGTGCTCAGGGAAAATAAAAATCTAAAAGCCACCCTTGTTCTGCCTCAATCCAGCTCACCTACAGGTCAAATTTAAAGGCACATTTATTTAGCCTCCAGCTCTCTGCTGCTAAGCTCATTGTAATTTCCGCTGATTACTTTGAGAAGTACCTTTCAATTTGGTGGAGGGAGGGAAGTGTGGAAGGCTGGAGTTCCACTTATTTCCTCAGAAGTAAAGCCAGAGAGTGCAGCCTTCAGGGACAGTGTCATTATCTGGATGCTTTCTGAGTCTCAGAATCTGCTGATATCCACATTATCATTCCAATCTCAAAAATTACTTCAGGCCGGGCGCTGTGGCTCACGCCTGTAATCCCAGCACTTTGGGAGGCTGAGGCCGGCGGATCACGAGGTCAGGAGATCCAGACCATCCTGGCTAACATGGTGAAACCCCATCTCTACTAAAAATACAAAAAATTAGCCGGGCGTGGTGGTGGGCGCCTGTAGTCCCAGCTATTCGGGAGGCTGAGGCAGGAGAATGGCGTGAACCCAGAAGGTGGAGCTTGCAGTGAGCCAAGATCGTGCCACTGCACTCCACCCTGGGTGACAGAGAGGACTCCATCTCAGAAGAAAAAAAAAAAAAGAACAGTGTCTTAAGATAGGAGGGGTTTCTCTTTCATATTAAAAAAATTTTGGCGAGGCCCAGTGACTCATGCTTGTAACTCCAACCCTTTAACAAGCCAAGGCAGGAGAGTCACTTGAGCTCAGGAATTTGAGACCATCCTGAGCCACATAGCAACACCCCATCTCTACACAAAAAAATACAAAAATTAGCTGGGCATGGTGTTGTGTGCCTGTAGTACTAGCTACTAGGGAGGCTGAGGTAGGAGGATCGGTTGAGCCCAGGAGTTCAAGGCTGCAGTGAGCTATTATTGCACCACTACACTTCAGCAGCCCAGGCAATAGAGTAGACCTTGTATCAAAAAATAAATAAATAAAGCTTTTAAATAAATAAACTTTTCAAGTCTGCACACAATCATGCATGCCTTGCAGTTGCTTGAGTCACTCAGGATTTGAGCTTATTCTGTCTTCCTGCTCTGTGATCTCACGTCAGGCTTCTATTTTCAATATCACTTCACGGTCCAAGATGCCTGCTAGAATCCCAGCCATTACATCTGAGACCAGCAGAAAGAGGAAAGGAGAAAGAAACAAAATGTCTACCCTTTCTTAAAGGGCCAAGTTCAATAGCCTTTCTGGAGCTTCCCACAACACTTTGACTTACATCAGCTTGACCGCAAAGGAGGCTGAGTATAGCCTTTAACTAAGCTAATGTTCTGTTGCTAAAGGAAAAGTTGAAAATGGAATTTGGAAAGGCAACTAGTAGTCCTTGCCACAGATTAAGAAATCAGCAGCTGGGCACGGTGGCTCACCCCTGTAATCCCAGCACTTTGGGAAGCTGAGGCGGGCAGATCACCTGAGATCAGGAGTTTGAGACCAGCCTGGCCAACACAGCAAAACACCGTCTCTACTAAAAATACAAAAATTAGCTGGGTGTGGTGGCAGGCACCTGTAATCCCAGCTACTCAGGAGGCTGAGGTAGAAGAATCGCTTGAACCCAGGAGGCGGAGCTTGCAGTGAGCCGAGATCGTGCCACTGCACTCCAGCCTGGGAGTCAGAGTGAGACTCCATCAGAGAGAAAGAAAAGAAAAGAAATCAGCAACATAGTTCAGGCTCTCTCCATTTAAACTTTCTCTCTGTGACTTGAATCAACCTCATTTTTTTATGTTGTCCCAAGTTGTTACCGGCCTTAGATGATGAGTGTATGACATTAAACACAAAAAACTCGACACCATTACCTTCTGCCATGGCTGAATAAGCTAAAGACATTTAACCACATTTACTGGTGGGATCTGTTGTCCAAGAGGTCATAACAAACTTAGCTTCAGAAACTGGACTTATGATGCAGGGATATGCATTCAGTGCACAACAGTCATTCATTCCCTTTCTGGCCAGGTATGCATCAAGCCAGGAGGTCTCTTAAATAATCCTAAGCTAAAAACAGGGACGGAGATTCTTCTACCTCATACTGAGGGGCAGGTACGCAAAGAAGTAGTCACTGTTGCAATATGAATCACCCAATTTTCTTACATATATTTGACCCTGAGGTCATTCTTATAGATTCTCAGTGGTCAAGCAGCTAAAGTAAGATGCTTTTCAATAACAGGCAGAGCCATGTTGCATAAAAAGTAGGTTACTACAAACTTCCTATTTAATGTCACATAACCTCTTATACAGCTTGCCCTGAAACTCTTCTCACTTCCTTCATACCCACTGGGTACCCAGTGGTCTTATGCTGCCCATAGCCGAGAATCCTCAGTCATAGCATTCCCATTGCAAAGTGGCTGCTTTCCAAGTCCCCATCCCCAGATGCCTGTGTCTTAGACTGTCCTAGAGGGGTCAGACTTCTGCCTCATGGCAATAATGGTAGTGTCAGTAAGGCAAACCAAAGAACATAACCAGGCCAGGCACAGTGGCTCACACCTGTAGTCCTAGTGCTTTAGGAGGCTGAGGCAGGAAGACCACTTGGGCCCAAGGGTTCAATACCAGCCTGTGCAACATAGTGAGACCCCGTCTCCACACAAAAACAAAAACCAAAATTAGCCAGGCATGGTGATGTACTCCTGTAGTCCTAGCTACTTGGGAGGCTAGCAGGGGAAGGATCACTTGAGCCCAGAAGTTTGAGGCTGCATCCCAGCCTCAGTGACAAAGCAAGACCCTGTCTCAAAAAAAAAAAAAAAAAAAAACAAACATAACTAATGATTGCCCTTTCTTGTTAATGTTTTGCAAAAATGTGTATCTATCCGAGACTCCTTTGAGGAGTGTTATGGACCTGATGGTGTTCCCCCAAAATTCACATGTTAAAGTCCTAACCCCTAGCACCTCAAAATGTGACTGTATTTGAAGATATTGTCTTTAAAGAGGTAGTCGGTACCCCTGATATGATGTGAGGAGAAAGACACTCTGCTGCAGTATTCCTTCTAAAATCCTAGCACCCCAATCTAATCATGAGAAAAACATCCAACAAATTCCAAATCCCAATGGAAGGGCAGTCTAAAAATACTCTGAAAGTACTCCCCAAAATTAAAACGTCATCAAAGACAAGAAAAGTCTGAAAAACTTAGCCAAGATCAGCCTAAGGAAGGATGATGACTAAATAGAGTATGGTATCCTGGATGGGATCCTAGAACAGAAAAATGATATCAGGTAAAAACTAATGCCAAATCCCCCTCTCCGAGAAACACCCAAGAATGATCAATAAATACTAAAAAAATTTAAAAAAAAAAGAAAATAAATGCAATAAATGTTCTTAATCTTAAAAAAAACTAACGAAGTGTGAATAAATCATGTACTTCAATTAAAAACTATTAAGCATACCAGAGGTAGTGGGTAATACTGAGAACAGGGGAGGCCATGAATGTGTGGGGACAGGGAGTATATGGAATATCCCATATGCTTTCCTCTCAATTTTGCTGTGAACCTAAAACTGCTCTGAATAAGTAGTCTTTAAAATGAAAAAAAAAAAAAATCCTTGTTGTTTTTGTTTGTTTGTTTGTTTTTAGCTCTGTCACCCAGGCTGGAGTGCGGTGGTGCAGTCAAAGTTCACTGCAGCCTCGACCTCCTGGGCTCAAGTGATCCTCCTGCCTCAGCCTCCCAAGTAACTGGGACCACAGCTGTGCACCGCCATGCCTGGCTTTTTTTATTTTTTTATTTTTTTTTAGAGATGGGGTTTTGCATGTTGCTCAGGCCAGTCTCAAACTTCTGGACTGAAGCAATCCTCCACCTTCAGCCTCCCATAGTACTGGGATTATGGTTGTGAGCCACGGTACCCAGCCTGAAAAAAAGTTATAATAATTCATAGACAGATGTACCGAATAGGATTTCAACAAGACTCTTTCTTCACCATTTGCAAAGACTCTCACAAACTGCTGAAGTCCAGGCTGGCTGAAAAGCAGCTTGAGGAAGCATGTTCATGCATCTGGGAACAAGGGGAGTTCACTGGAGTGCACATGCCAGAATGGAAATGAGCCCCCTGCTGTTATCTGAGGCAATTTGTAGTGGGTCTCAATGCTAAAATTAAAGTACACCCCACAAGAAGGGAGGTCACCTGAAGGCAGCCAATGGGCCACCCCTTTAGGGATATTCTCTTGATAAATTCACCTCTGCCCAGGGTCGGCTCTCAGCCTCACAAGCTCAGCAATGACTTCATCAGTGTCTTGACGTTAATCAAACTCATGGATGCTGACTCACACTAATAGAAATGAGTATGATATAGAAAAACAGGATGCCACATCATCAGGCAAACCCAACATGCTAGGCTTGCTGGAGTGGGGTCTGAGAGTCTCCATTTCTAACAAGTTCCCAGGTGATGCCAGTGCTCCTGGCCCATGGACCCCACTTTAAACAGCAAGGGTCTAGACAAGCTATATGGGAAGTCCAAGTATCAGAGTTTATTGGTGAGTGGAATATGAATTAGATCTCAAGAGAGGTTGACTATGTAACTATTTCATGCCATCGGGTTTTGGCTGCTTTACATATCCATTTCCATAATAGATATCAACCCACTACTAACACTTAGTGGTGTCAGACCCTTGCTTTAACAGCCTTGAGAATACAGCTACTCTGTGCCGAACTACACAACCTGTTCAGCCAGTCGTGTTCTGTGGTATGTTGATCAGGTTTCATCATCTGAACTGATACCTTCACATGGCCAGGAATGTAAATAAAAAACTCCCATATATTTCTGCCAGGGTAAATCAGAATATATTAAAAATGAAGCAACTACTAGAAACTCTATACCAATCAAAAGAGAGCAAGTAATGAAGGTAATGAATTTCCCTACAGTACATGAATACTTTTTTTTTGAAACAAGAGTCTTGCTCTGTTGCCCAGGCTGGAGTGCAGTGGCTGATCTCAGCTCGCTGCAACCTCCACTTCCCGGTTTCAAGTGATTCTCCTGCCACAGTCTCCTGAGTAGCTGAGATTACAGGCACCTGCCACCACGCCTGACTACTTTTAGTATTTTTAGTAGAGACAGGGTTTCATCATGTTGGCCAGGCTGGTCTCAAATTCCTGACCTCAAGTGATCTGCCTGCCTCGGCCTCTGAAAGTGCTGGGATTACAGGCGTGAGCCACTGCACCTGACTTGAATAAAGAAATTTCTAACAGATTGGTTGAGAAGAAAAGGAAATACTGCAATGATTAGGTGTCATTCATTCAGCTATTTTCACACATGCCTACTAAGGGAAACCACTATTCAGCAGGTAGCTCTCAAAGTCCTGCATGCAGAAAAATCATATGGAAAGTGTTTTGAATGCAAATTCCAGGGCCTCACTCCCTCTATTCCCACCCTCATTCTACCCCAACTACCAGGAGTCCAATTCAGCAGGCTGGGGCTTATAAATCTACATTTTTAACACGCACCCCCAACAGATTCTGAAAAATACTGACTTATATAGGATTTTAGTGGTTTTCAACCCTGGCTTACATTAGATACAGTGGAGAAGCTCAAAAAAAAAAAAAAAAAAAAAAAAAGGTCCCATGCCTGTATGCCAAAACCCCAAAACAATCAAATCAGAACATCCAGCGCATGAGACCCAGGCAACAGGCATTTTCTTAAGCTTCCCAGGCGACTTAGTGTTTCCAGGTGGTACTATTTGTGTGGGTTGTTAGACATCAGATTCCAAGGCCCCTCCCTGAAGTCTCTGATTCAGTAGGTCTGGGGCAAGGCCCTAGTCGGTGTGTCTGATAAGTGCCCCAGGTGATTCTTATGATGGGGTTTGAGAAATGTGTCTGTCTTACTCAACTGAGTCAGAAATACTGATCCCAGCAAAGCTGCTTCAAGGGATTTTTTTTTTTTTTTGAGACAACTCAAGGGATTTTTGACTCCAGTTTTGAAGCCCCTATTCCATGAATTTAGCTCCAATATGACCTGGGTCTTCCCAAAGAGACGGAACTCACCTCCCTTAATGCTGCATAGGAATGAAAGCCCACTGCTTTATACAACATGGCCTCTGTGGTCCCACTTTTATTACTAATACAACAGGACATTTCTCCCAGATTTAACACTTAGTGCTACATACCAGGCACATGGTATTACAAGCACTTCATCTATTAACTAATTTAATGTTCATAACAGTGCTATGACTAGGAACTATTCTTAGTGCTAACTCTACAGACTTTTTAAAAACGGAGGCATAGAGGCTAAGTAAATTGACTAAGTTTGCTTAGTCAAAGCCAAAGTTACCTAGAGAATGAATCTGAACCCAAACAGTAGAGGACCAAGGTCTGCTCTCTTAATCATAACACTATCATGCTGCTCACCAAGCAAAAGTTGAAGAGCCTGTCCACACATCACTTGCTGCCAGAAACACACACACACACACACACACACACACACACACACACACACAGAGAGACAGAGAGAGAAAGAATCAAGCAAGTTAGTGTTTATTACATCCCTACCATGTATACCAAGTGCTGGGCTTGGGGCTTTACGTATATTATTTCACTTAATCTGCAAGTCAGATATAATCCTATTGTCATGAACACACTATACTGCCTCACTCAGTGATGGAGAGAACCAAACTGTTTTGCATGGTGCAGAGCACCATGCAAAAAAGAAAAACAAATAAAGCAGCCGAAGAAACCTTCCAAGTTGATTTGGAGACTGAAGAAACAGCCAGTTGTGGGGGTGCGTGCTGGGGCGAGAGGAGGCCGGGCAGAGGGTGACTGCGGCTGGCTGTAAAAGGATTCTTGGAGGTGGTGGAGCTGTGGAGATCTTTGGCTCGGAGAAAAGGCAGGGCTTCCTGAGGTCTCAGTAGAGGACAGGAGTTTCATTCAGACATACTGCTTCTCAGTGCAAATCTCAACAAGTCAGGACAAGTGGCTGAGGTCCACCCACTTTAAGGAATGACAAGACATGATGCTGCCTTTAAAAAGAATCTGATGTCTCTAACTCATGCAGGGAAACACAACACAATTTCCTTGTCCTGCCTTAGGTTTCTTCCTGAGTAGTGGCACAGGGGGAGAAAGGAGCTGCAAACCCAATGCCTTACTCCAAGGAGTTTTAAGCATTTGGCCAGTGGCCTGAAAATACTGTCTTTAGGGAAAACAATGGTAAATGGCTGTTAAACATCAGCTTTTTCCTATCTACCTGCTTAGGGACATCACGTGATGCCAATCCCAAACAACCCATCTAAGAAGAGTCACACTATAGTTCAGCCTCAAGGAAATTTGCCTGAGCTCCAGGGTTCTGGAGGTCCAATGCTATTTGCCAGGCCCTGGGGCAAACACTGAGGCCTTAGCAATACTGGACTCTGTGCCCAATAGCTAAACAGAAAGAGTCTAAAAAAAAAAAACCAGGACTAGATGCACAAAAACAAATCCCAGAGAAGTGGAGAAGTAGAGAGTCTTAGTCCATTCAGGCTGCTATTACAGAATACCATAGACCGGGTAGCTTATAAACAACAAGTTTATTTCTCACAGTTCTGGAGGCTGGGAAGTCCAAGATCAAGGCAGACTCAGTGTCTGGTGAGGGCCCAATTTCTGGCTCATAGGTACTGACTTCTTATTGTGTTTGCACAAGGCAGAAGACAGAAGCAGCAAGTTTTCTGGTATCTCTTTTATAGGAATATGAATCCCATTCATGAGGACTCTGCTCCCATACTCTAATCAATTCCCAAAGGTCCCACCCTCAAATACCATCACCTTAGGGGTTAGGGTTTCAATAATAAGATTTTGAGTGTTTTGTTGTTGTTTTTTTTTTTTTTTTAGACAGCCTGTCACCCAGGCTGCAGTGCAGTGACATGATCTTGGCTCACTGCAACCTCCGCCTCCCAGGTTCAAGCGATTCTCATGCCTCAGCCTCCTGAGTAACTGGGATTACAGGCATGCACCATCATGCCTGGCTAATTTTTGTATTTTTAGTAGATATGGGGTTTTGCCATGTTGGCCTGGTTGGTCTCCAACTCCTGGCATCAAGTGATCCACCAGCCTTGGCCTCTCAAAATGCTGGGATTACAGGCATGAGCCACTGCACCTGGCTAACAATAAGATTTCTGGAAGAACATAAAAGTTCAGACGGTAGCAGGGACGTCTAGATGGGCTGGCAAAGAACCTGCAGCATCATGAGCCTTCTGGATTTTATAGCTCTGATCCTAGAACATAAGCCACTGGGTGGTGTTGTGTGGGTTATGGACAGCTTTGGGCCCAACAGCATAAAGTAGTACTGGAAGGTATACAATTCTGGAGATGAATTCCACCCTTAACCAAAGCTGAGATAGAGATGCTACGATTTCTACCAGACATGCATTCCCTTATAAGGCCAAGAGCAAGTAGGTTGGGTCAAGTGTGAGTGACAGCATCACAGTTGTGAGGAGAGCAGATAAGGAGGTGATATGCAGTCATGCCTAAAAGAGGGTCCAGTGAACAAAAGGAAACACAGGTAGTGACTTTCACTGATGGCAATAAATAATAATATTTAAAATTGTCCTACACTTCATTCTTTTTTATTGAGTTCCTGCCATGATTTATCTGCAAATCTGTAAAGCAAGCATTACCAAAAAATTAATTACCTGATTGAAATCAACGGATGAGTTTATTATTTTTCAAACCTTCCACTGTATGTTTTATCTTCCCTGGACATGTAGGGCTAAGTAGATGATGTATACCGGAAAAATCAGAACTAATGTTTCAAGTTTTTTTTTTTTACTTTCTTCATCCAAGAAATAATAGTAGACAGCATTTGTAATTTAACACTGCTTCAAAGGGAATTGTACTTACATTTCCCATCTTTAGTGTTATCTACTTAAAATCCATACCTATTGTTTTCCCTTCATATATTATAAAGTCATAATCTCCTTTATGTGCTAGGCTGAGCATGACTTCTCTGTTGGCAAACAACGCAATACCTGCTTGAAACTCACTTAATGTTCAAAGGAAGAAACACCACCAAATGTTTAGTACATTCTCAGGCATATCTAATGAAAAACATATCTATTGTTTCTAAGAACTATTTGATGTACATCCATGGGCAATAAATCTGGTGAATTCTCAAAAAAAAAATGTTATGGAAAACACCTACTGGCTTAAAGAAGTTAACCTTTCTCCCAAATTGGACAAATCCTCATGAGAGCAAATAGTACATGGTATTTAAAGACCTATTTGTCTATGTCTCTAGACAAATATGTCACAGGAGGGGAGATTGTGTCTACAGTTGGTTCACTACTGTGCCTAGTATGCTGCATGGAACATAAATATTCAATAAACATTTGTGAAAAGAATGGAAGTTGCCTAAGGTGAAAACCAAACTCACATGCATTTGTGAATATCCTTGTCTAAAGCCATAAAAATAAAGGGAATTTAATTAGACACTCAAGCAAACACTCAAGTGTCTTTTCACATTCACATTCATCTGGCACCTATATACCTTGCTTAGTTGAAAGGACATAAGAGAGGCATCTCACTTAAAGACACTCATCTAAGAAACCCAGGAGTTGGCTGGGTATGGTGGCTCATGCCTCTAACCCTAGCACTTTGGGAGGCCAAGGCAGGTGGATCACCTGAGGTCAGGAGTTCAAGACTAGCCGGGCCAACATGGTGAAACCCTATCTCCACTAAAAATACAAAAATTAGCCAGGCATGGTGGCAGGCGCCTGTAATCCCAGCTACTCAGGAGGCTGAGACAGGAGAACCGCTGGAACCCGGGAGGTGGAGGTTGTAGTGGGCTGAGATCGTGCCACTGCACTCCAGCCTGGGTGACAGAGCGACACTCCATCTCAAAAAAAAAAAAAAAAAAGAAAAAGAAACCCTGGAGAGTTGTGTCGGAGTTCCTACTGAGCATCACTGTGCCATCACGTACTAGCCATGGTTTCCTAGGAAACGTATTGGCCTTTCTAAGACTCATTTTCCTCATCTGTATACTTTTATAATAAATCACTGAGTCTCAGCCAACCACAACAGCCACGCTTTAGTCAATCGCAGGGAGCCAGTTGACCAGACCATCTTCAACTAAGGCAAACGCTGAGCTGCAACCAATCCAGCAGTCTCAGTATCTCACTCCTGTTTTCTGTCCATAAATGCCACCTGACCATATTGCAGGCCACAGTGCTCTGACCCTGTTCGGGTTTTGGGGGGCTGCCCTATTCTTGAATCATCCATTGCTCAATTAAGCTCTGCTGAATTTAATTTTCTAAAGTTTCCCTTTTAACATAACCTTCCTACATCTCCATTTCCTAATCCATAAAAAGTTGATCAATATAATAATGTTTAACCTTACGAACGTGTTGTGAGACTTTAAATCGATTTAAGTGAAGGTTAAATGAGTTTAAGTATGAGTAAAGTATTTCATTAACTGTTAAAATGTGATATATGTATTCTTTGTAAACTCTTGGGAGAGGTAATATGTTTTTCTCAAAGTGTTTCTCTCAAAGTTACCACCAAAATATATAGTAAAAACTAGTGAAATTTTAAAAATAGAAGAGGAAGTCAAATTTGACAGGAAGTCTGAACTTATATGTCACTTACAAATTAATTCCAGACTACTTGATCTTTGCATTTTTAAGCTTTATGAAGCAAATTTGTAACAAAACCTACAGAAAATAGTGTAGTAGGCTGCAGTGGGCAGAGTTTTAAGAATCTCCATAGAACAGTCTGGGCAACAAAGCGAGACCCTGTTTCTACAGAAAATTTTAAAAATCAGTGAGTCATGGTGGCATGAACCTGTAGTTCCAGCTGCTCAGAAGGTTGAGGCAGGAGGATCCCTTCGGCCCAGGAGTTCAAAGTTGCAGTGAGCTATGATCACGCCACTGTACTCCGGCCTGGGTGACAGAGACCCCATCTCAAAAAGCTCCATAGAAGGGAAAAAAAAAAGTTTTTAACACAGCACATTCTCTCTCGCTCATTTTTTTGTTTGTTTGTTTGTTTGTTTTGAGACAGCATCTCAAAACCTCCATCTCCTGGGTTCAAGCAATTCTCCTGCCTCAGTCTCCTGAGTAGCTGGGATTACAGGCGTGCACCACCATGCCCAGCTAATTTTTGTATTTTTAGTAGAGGTGGTGTTTCACCATGTTGGCCAGGCTGGTCTCGAACTCCTGACTTCAAGTGATCCACCTGCCTCAGACTCCCAAAATGCTGGATTACAGGTGTGAGCCACTGCGCCCAGCTAACACAGCACATTCTCTACCAGAGAAAAGCACAACATTCCTGAGAAGGCACCCAGAACAACTCAACAGAAACATTTTCTAAACTTTATGAAGAAGCAATGACTTGCCGGTGGAGAAGAAAAAAAAAGCAAACTGAAAAATCAAAATTCTCTTACTGCTTTTTCACTCCATGTATGACAGTTTAAACAACTTCTTCCCTTTGAATATTAGAAGTTTACAATCTTCTAGAGGCCAGACGTCTGAAGCGTGTGGAGTGACTGACAGATGTTGCATAGTCATTCAATCCTTCCAATTTGCATTACAATTCAGAGAATGGCAGCACAGAAGACTGCCTGGTCCAGCTCCCTCATTTTATAAAGAAACTGACAGGCAAATTAAATGGCTTTTGCACCTCTCATATTCATTCATGAAAAATAGATACCAGAGTCTAAGTGTTTCATTTAGTGTGGAAATTAAGGGGAAAAAACATTTCCCCCTTAGCCAAAAGGAATTAAGTACACTGGATTAATGGGTTAATAAACAGCCCAGATCATCTTCTCAGAGCCTTTAGCAGGGGCTTCTAAATCTCCTTAATACTTTAATTGGGGTTTTTCATGTAAGGAGAAATAATAGTTCCCCCCTCCACCCCCAAGCCCTGCAAGTAGAAAAACCTAAGGCTTATCATCTTAACATATATTCAAGTTATAATTGTGTGCCTCTTTTAGGGTAGTTTCTAGACCCTGTACATGTAAATGTAAGAGACTCATCCAAAGTAATACTTTCTTGCCTTTATTATGAACACATGTAAAACCACCCCTTTATTTAAGGGTAAACATTGACCTCCTATCAGGGAAATGCTATTGTCTCCAAGTGAATGCCTCATCCCTTTAACCATCAAATTACTATGTGGTTAGCATGACATACACTGGAGAAGACGCCAATAAATCCAAAGGAGATAATTTAAGAATAATAAAACAACATACATGAAACAAATAATAAAACCAACATCCAGACTAATGATCCTTAAGTGTCTGGATACCAATTCCAACTGAAAGAGTTTTCCTATTAACTCCAAGGGAAACCAGTTCTTGGCATCAGCTATCCAGGCAGAAACTCACATACAGAATATAACTTCAGAGAAGTTTAAAATGGCTCTATACACCACAATTATACCTGCCAATTAATACAGCCTATAATATGCTAGGCATGCTAACATCTGTTATTCCACCTAAACTAAACAACCTTGCCTGGCTGTGCACAGTGGCTCACGCCTGTAATCCCAGCACTTTAGGAGGCCAAGGCAGGTGGATCACCTGATGTCAGGAGTTTGAGACCAGCCTGGTCAACATGGTGAAACCCCATCTCTACTAAAAAATACAAAAATTAGTCAGGCGTGGTGGTGCATGCCTGTAATCCCAGCTACTCAGGAGGCTGAGGCAGGAGAATTGCTTGAACCCAGGAGGCAGAGGTTGCAGTGAGCCGAGATTGTGCCACTGCACTCCAGCCTGGGTTACAGAGAGACAGAGACTCTGTCTCAAAAAAATAAAAATAATAAATAAATAAACAACCAATCCTGCCAATTAGAATCATCATTCCCATTTTTAAGATGAGGAAACTGATTCTCAGAGGGCTTGGTCAAGATCAGCCAGCAAATAAATTTCAGGAGCCAGATTTATATCCTGATCTTTCTAATGCTGAAGCCAGAATTTCCTCTGGAAATGCCATGGAACTTTTCCCCCATTAGCCTGAAATTCACACAATTAATTGCTTTCCTTAAACATCTTCAGGAAACATCTTCGTTTTATGTCAGACAGTGGCACACACTTTGGCTGATGCTTGTGCTCGGATGAGCATATCTGATTAACTCTTACTGCCATCCAGCAGAAAACTGGCTCTGTGGGAGGAGGCCAAGGGCAGGAATGCTTCACCTGCACTAAGCAAAGCAAGGAAAATTAAAGGATTTGGGGGGCAGGCTGGCTTATAACAGTATGGCAGTGATATCCAGATAACAAGTCATCCCATCACAGGTATTACTTTCATACTTTGAACAAATAGAATGAATTATAGAGAAGTTCTATCTAAGCCACTATTAAAAGAGCTCTTGTGAAAATACATTTGGGAAAATCTACAAGTGAATGCAGTGACTATATCTAAGCATGTGGATATGAAGGGAGTCTAAGAATTTGATGATACTACTCCTTAAGAACAATCTAAGGGACATTCAGAAATTCTTAGTTGATTTTACCAGTAACAGTGAGGCACTCATTCATTTAGCCAACACATATTATTCAAGCACATATTATATGCCTGTTTCTAATTTATTTTTTATTTTTTTAGAGATACAGTCTTGCTCTGTCACCCAGACTGGAGTGCAGCAGCAGCATGATTACAGCTCACTGTAACCTTGAACCCCTAGGCTCAACTGATCCTCTTGCCTCAGCTTCTTGAGTAGCTAGCACTACAGGCATGTACCACCACACCCAGCTTTTTATTTATTTATTTTTGTAAAGATGGGGTCTTGCTATGTTGCCCAGGCTGGTCTTGGGCTCCTGGCCTCAAGTGATCCTCTGCCTTGACCTCCCAAAGTGCTAGGATTACAGATGTGAGTCACTGCGCCCAAAGCCTGTTTCTAGATACGATTTGCATCTACCCTGTCCTCAGGCTGCATCAGAGAAACCATGTCTTTATCTTTGGCCTAAGTGGTTCCTGGATGGCCTTTGGCAGGTAACCTTTTGCTATTTCAGTTCCAGCTGGGTAGAAGCTGGCCTGTGACTTCAAAGTTATGGGAAGCAGAGGTCTTACATGTGGTGTTATCTGACATCATCTTAAACTGTCTTTAGGACCAAGGAGGACCCATGAGGTTGGAACAAAGTTATTCTGGGGATGAAAGGAGCTAAGCTATGCCTCCGTTAATCAAAACAAGGCATCGGATGGGTGGGAAAAGCATCTAACATCCTTTGCCCAGAACACCAAATATCCCTTTATGGGAGCTTCTCACTTCCGTTTTAAGAATAAAAAAAGAAGAGAAGGTAACTGGGGTGTAAGCCTGTTGAAAAGAAAATGGATAGCTCACATGTTCAAAATTATGTATTTTAGATGTTTTCCAAAGATTCTGATTACATACGGGTTTTCCAGAAACATGTCATTATATAAAAGCAGGATTTGCTTACTTGAGTATAGGAGTACAAGTAAAGTTATTAGAGATGGCAAAGTTTATGTGGAAAATTATCCCAGAAGCAGTAGCCTACCTAGAAAATTTGACCTCATGTAAATTAATTTGTAACACCATCCTTCTCTATATGACAAAATTATTTTTGTTATAATTGTAAAAAGAAATAATAGCAATGGGCACCATAAGTGGAATAACTTATTGCCATTTTCTTAAAAAGGATACTGAAGGATACAAAAGTAATCCTGTACATCGATAGAGGCTGTGAATAAAGAAATACCCCTTTTGGCAGTTAAAGGTTTTTTTTTTTTTTCGAGACAGGATCTCACTCTTTCCCAGACTGGAGCACAGTGGCGTGATCATAGCTCACTGCAGCTTCAAAATCCTAAAAGCTCAAGCGATCCTCCCCGCTCAGCCTCCCAACTAGCTAGGACTACAGGTACGAACCACCATGCCCAGCTAATTTTTTTATTTTTTATTTTTTGTAGATACAGGATCTCACTTTGTTGCCCAAGCTGGTCTTGAGCTCCCGGGCTCAAGCAATCCTCCCACCTCAGCCTCCCAAAGTGCTGGGATTACAAGGATGAGCTACTGCACCTGGTCAAGATAAAGTATTAAATCCATTTGAACATTCTCACCAGGCAACCCAGACATCTGAGCATGATTCCTGACTTATACTTGAGCTCTTACTCCTTATTGTTACATTGGCTCTCTTAATTCCAGAAGCCTGAACCACACAGCTGTTCATATCCCTGAGAACAGCAAATCCAACAGTAAAGCCTCAAGAAACCTTACATCTGCTCGCAGCTGAATGCCACCACGTTGTCTGCAATGACAATTAAGAGTCTTGAATGATATCAGATGTGATGTATAATCTGGTGCTTAACTAAGATTGGGGCCTGGAATCAAAAACAAGGCTGTAAAATGAGGCATCTCACAGACTTTGTCAACAGCCTTGTGAGCCCCAAATATTTGGTATGACCCTGTTTTCTATACAGGATTTGATTCAATTAAATCTAATCAATTTCAATCCAACTAATGGATATGCCAAGCCCTGTGCTAGACAGTGGGTGGGAAGAGGGAGAATATGAATAAAATAATCCCTGTCTCAAATGCTCATAGTCCAGGAGGAAGAACATAGGAACTCCATGATAAAGGTAACAACAGACTAGTGGCCTGGGTACAAAGGCAAAACAGAGGAGAGGAAAGAGCTATCTGGAGGGTCAGGGATATTGACAAAGAGTGGGGTTTAAAGGAAAACCAGGAGTTCATCAGGCAGGAGGTGGGAGAATTGCCTCCAGCCTATCAGCACCACTGAATATCACATCAATTTACCTTATCCATGGGTACATTTAATGCTGAAGACAATATCCATCATTCTTAGTTCAACTAGACAGCCACAAAGAAATTTGTAATGTCTATTTCTCACTTTGCACACACATGACAAAATATTGACGAAAAATAACCCATTACTGAGAACTTACTTTGTGTTAGACATCACAATAGGTATGTTATTCCCACAATAACCCCCTTAAACATTATATATTATCTTTATAGATGAAAAACTCTTAAATAGATCAAGGTCACCTGGCTAGTCAGTGGCTCAGCCAGATTTTGTGGGCTGTTGTTTTGTGTTTCTTTTTATGTTTATCACTTTATTTTTATTTCAATAGCTTTTGGGGTACAAGTGGTTTTGGCTACATGGATGAATTGCATAGTGGTGAAGTCTGAGATTTTAGTGTACCTGTCACCCGAGTAGTGTACATTGTACCCACTATCTAGTTTTTTATCCCTCACCCATTCTCCCCGTTCTGGGTCTCCACTCTGTATGCCTTTGTGTGAACATGCCTTACTTCCCACATATAAACGAGAACATACAGTATTTGGTTTTCCATTCCTGAGTTACTTCAATTAGAATAACGGCCTCCAGCTCCATTCAAGTCACTGCAAAAGACATTATTTCATTCTTTTTAAAGGCTGAGTAGTATCCCATGGTGTGTGTGTGTGTGTGTGTGTGTGTGTGTGTGTGTGTGTGTGTATATCTCATTTTCTTTATCCACTCATTGCTCAAAGGGCACTTAGGTTGGTTCCACGTCTTTGCAATTGTGAATCATGCTGCTGTAAATACATGCATACATGTGTCTTTTTCATATAATGACTTATTTTTCCTTAGGTAGATACCCAGCAGTGGGATTGCTGGATCAGATGATACATCTACTTTTAGTTCTTTAAAAAATCTGAGGCCAGGCACGGTGGCTCACGCCTGTAATCCCAGCACTTTGGGAGGCCGAGGCAGGTGGATGACGAGGTCAGGAGATCGAGACCATCCTGGCTAACACGGTGAAACCCCATCTCTACTAAAAATACAAAAAATTAGCCGAGCGTGGTGGTGGGCACCTGTAGTCCCAGCTACTTGGGAGGCTGAGGCAGGAGAATGGCATGAACCCAGGAGGTGGAGCTTGCAGTGAGCCGAGATCAGGCCACTGCACTACAGCCTGGGTGACAGAGCAAGACTCCGTCTCAAAAAAAAAAAAAAAAAAAAAATCTGCATACTGTTTTCCATAGAGATTATACTAATTTACATTCCCACCAGCAGCGTATAAGTGTTCCCTTTTCACCACATCCACACTAACATCTATTGTTTTTCTGACTTGTTAATGATGCTCATCCAGATTTTGAATCAGATTTATCTAAAGCCAATGATCTGGCCTTAATCACCACCCCAAACTTCCTCTTTATAAGTCATCTATATATCTAAACCAATCCCTTGTTTCTCTATTTAATATAAATCTTCAAGTTGACATAGTTCTCTCTCTGCTATGCTGTGGAGCTAGTGCTAAGTTTCCTTCTTACAATTGCTGGCGTGAAAGCTCCTCCTTTCAGCATTTGCCAAATCATAAACCAAATGCCGGACTTACATGGGGAAGTTGAAAGTTGTTTGGTTTGCAGGACTTGGAGCTATGGTGGAGCTTTCTGTGGCTTGGGGACTCTTTGATTCCAAAGCCTACTTTTCTTTTTTTTGAGACAGAGTTTCACTCTTGTCGCCCAGGCTGGAGTGCAATGGCACGATCTCAGCTCACTGCAACCTCCGCCTCCTGGGTTCAAGTGATTCTCCAGCCAAAGGCCCCAATTTTCTAAGTAGCAAAAGGAAGAGAAACTCCACAGCTGAAGTGACTCAAGAAGGAACTTGAGCTAATGTAATACTTCACGTGCTTTATTACACTTAGGGTTTTTCTGATGTAGATACAGCAGAACTAAATGTACCCAATGGACTGAAACAACAACAACAACAAAAATGCCTTTCCAAAGCTCAGAGGGCATCTAAATATTACCAATTTTTTAAAGTTTATATAAAAAAGGGGAAGAAAATGGAGGAGAGGGAAAAGTCCATATGAAAACAAAGACCCACTGAAATGCTAAAAGGTCAAAGATGCAGAATCCCAACTCTGCCAACTCTTCCTGCTGAGCTGTTTAAGACTAACTAACCCCTCATCTCCCACCCCTGGCTCTCGCCACTACTCATACAAGAAAACATTGCATGGTGGTCCACTTAATTTATCCTGATCATCAGAAACAGCCCCTAGACAACTAAATCTAGGATCTTTAAATGTGGCATAATTTCCTTGCTTTTTAAGGAAATTATGTCAAATTACGGTTGGAGAAAAAAACTGGCTAAGCATTCTTTTAAAAGCTCAGAACAGTCTAAATTATGGGGTTGCACACACAAGAAGAAGGACGTTTTGTTTTAATCTGATTTTAAACTGAATCAGTTGAGGCTGCTGCAAAGATGAACTATGTAATTAGAGCTAACTACTCAGTTAATACAGCTACAGCAAAGAAATACAGTCAGAGTGAAGGGCAGAGACCAAAAAGACCTTTCTTCCGCTTTCTTCACTAGAGTTATTTTTCCCTTTAGTAACGGGAAAGGGAAATATAAATACTATATTTGCATATTAGATGTGCCAAAAAATCACATTAAATAATTTTAAAATTATACTTCTTACAAAATATTCACTTTATCACTTCTTGTAAAATAAATTTATCCTGGGAAAAGGAACTAATTGTTCCTTAAAGAGTTACTAAATGTACTTATTTACATTTAGCATGGTTTTCTCACACACAAACCAATCACACCCACAAGGCCTGCAACAAGAAGGGCTTAATACTTTCAAAGGAACCATTATTTTTGGAATGTCCTGATTTTTAGAAATAATTTTCAAGCAATGATGTCCTGTTCATTATTTTTATTTTTATTTTTTTCAGATGAAGTCTCACTCTGTCTTCCAAGCTGGAGTGCAATGGCACAATCTCGGCTCACTGCAACCTCTGCCTCCCAGGTTCAAGCAATTCTCCTGTCTCAGCCTCCCAAATAACTTTTTGTATTTTTAGTAGAGACGGGGTTTCACCATGTTGGCCAGGCTGATCTTGAATTCCTGACCTCAGGTGATCCACCTGCCTCATGCTCATTATTTTTAAAAGCTAGCTGAGCACGGTGGTTCACACCCATAATCCCAGCACTTTGGGAGGCAGAGGTGGGAGGATCGCTTGAGGCCAGGAGTTCAAGACCAGCCTGGGCAACACAGTAGGACCTCATCTCTATTAAAAATATATATATATATTAGGTGGGCTGGTGCTTTGCACCTGTAGTCTCAGCTACTCAGGAGGCTGAGGCAGGGGGATCACTTGAGGCTGGGTGGTCAAGGCTACAGTCTCTCCAACAACAACAACAACAAAAAAGCCATGGTTAATCTAGTTACTATTCCCACTTAGTTTCAGGAATTGAAAAGAATTTCAAAGTTTACTAAAAAGCAGGGAAGTGATACAAACATCCAATTTGCACAAAAGAGTTATTATGTCTTACCAGTGGAAATCAGGCATAATTGAACAAGTTTTAGAAACAAAGAAACCAAAATGCCTGAGAGATTGAATTTAGAATGTTCCTCAAATGCTAGTGCTAATCACAAGCTAACATGAGTATCACAGTTTCAAAATATAAGAGAACATTTTTCAAGTAATTTTTTTCATTGAAACGGAAACCCAAAAAACAATGCCAGTCATCACAGTATGTGGTAAATGTAACTTCCAGAAACAAGTAACTGACGTGTTTAACAAGGAACCTGTTTTCAGCGTTGGTGAAAGCAAACCAGGTCTGATGATGCATATCTAATCACCCAAGGAAGGCAATAAAACTAAAAAGATTCCATTGGTTCATTAACTATTAAAATCCAACACCAAAGACACAGCCCCTTTAAAGCCTTGACAACAAATATTAACTTATTACACATACAAATTATGCTCAAGACCAGCGACTTTATAATACCAGCAGTAATGCTGCTATTCAAATAATAAACAGGCAATATTATTCCTACTGGGTTGAAAGAATGAAAAATAGCTTAAGGAGTGAATTTTCAAGTGCACGTAAAATGTGGCAAGTTGGGACATGGAAAAACTGAAAGTCTTAAAGGTAGTTCCGTTACCAGAAAGGGATATAAAAATAAAAAGCTCACTCAATGAAAACATAATGCAGAATTAGGTCAGCAAAGCTGAAAACATAATACAGAATTAGGTCACCAACACAGACCTAGAAACCTCCTTCCTCTCTCCCAACTCCACACATAATTCAGTCAAGGCTGGCTGCTTTTTCACCAACCAATCCAAGGATAAAAAGCTAGGAATGAACAACATTCAGGTAAAAGGAGGCCTCTCCTTCTATGAGTGTCAAATTATATAAACCTATGAGACAGCCTCTCAGAGTCATGGCCATTGTAACTTACAGCTGAATGGAACATAAACTTTCTCCACAAATAAATTCTGTTTTGCATTGCTTGACCCAGGGCCAGCCTTGGAAACTTCTTCCATGTCTCTATCACCAGAGACTCTGCCAAGGAGAGAGGAAGGCTGCAACATCAAGCTCTTCCGCATCCCCTTCAAAACTCCAGGTGAGCTAGAGCCCTTAAGTGCCTTCGAGAACAGCAGCTGGGTGCGTAAGGGGGCGTGTCCCATCTGGTCCTGCTTAAGACCAGCAAGAGCAGAGCTGGCTCCTCTGTCCTTCTTCCTTTTTTTCTTTTCTACATCACACCCAAATGGTTGGAGCTGGTGGCCAGAGATAAGAACTTAGAGGCATTTCTACCGCTAGCCCCCTGGGCTCCCCACTCTCCCATTGCTTCCTTTAAAGGGACCATTCATGCATTTACCCTCAAATTGAAAATGGCCCACACTGTATTATGCAAAATATACTGCTAGCTGCTCGCGCTCTCTCTCTCTCTCCTCTCTCTCTCTCTCTCTCTCTCTCTCTCTTCCCTCCCTCCCTCCCTCCCTCCCTCCCTCCCTCCCTCTCTCTCTCTCTCTCTCTCTCTCTCTCTCTCTCTCTCCACCTGATCCCTCATTCCTGCCTCACATGACCTAGTGACCAAAGACTCATGGTGCTCTCCCTGCCCAGGAACTGTTTAAGTGAAAATCTTTGGACTTGTTTCCTATGAGGGTGCTGTACTGAATTTGCACCTTCCATCTGAAGAACTAGGGGCTGCCCCAGGCCTGATTTTCTCCAAGGCACCAAGGAGAGCACAAAGTCAGGCTCCCAGCAGCAGAGTGACAGTCAGACAGGCATAAACTGGACCCGATCAGACAAGAGCCACGTGGGTATCTGCCAGTATAAACAAGGTTCCTGTGAGAGAGCCCTCCTGGTTACAGGTTGGAGAACTAGGCTTTAGGCCACCCTCCAAGTAGACGTATCCTGTGAAAGGCACACAGTGAACACCCATGCCCAGCTCCCCTTCACTTCGCATCGGGGCAGCATTGTTAGCTGGTCTGGTACTAGAACCAGAGCTGGGGGCTCTTAAAACACCCGCTTTGGCCTGGCGCGGTGGCTCACGCCTGTAATCCCAGCACTTTGGGAGGCCAAGGCGGGCGGATCATGAGGTCAGGAGATCGAGACCATCCTGGCTAACACGGTGAAACCCCGTCTCTACTAAGAATACAAAAAATTAGCCAGGTGCGGTGGTGGGTGCCTGTAGTCCCAGCTACTCGGGAGACTGAGGCAGGAGAATGGCGTGAACCCAGGAGGCGGAGCTTGCAGTGAGCCGAGATAGCGCCACTGCAGTCAGGCCTGGGTGAAAGAGTGAGACTCCGTCTCAAAAAAAAAAAAAAAAAAAAAACTTCTCTCTCCCATTCTCCCCGGATTCCTGAGGCTCACATTGTGTGGTATGAGCCTGTCATATACGTGCCCAAAATGGCATCCCTTCTCTACTCTCCACTCCAACTCTATAACTCCTGCTTCATTAGTTCAACTGGGGTAGACAGAGGTGGAAAATGATCTGATATTCTAATTCACATTACAGTAATACTTAATAAAGTAAATAATTGACAGCATCTTCTCCCCACCTCAATTCCCCATGCACTCTCATTGTTAAATCAAACCAGTCTCCAAGTCTGTGTATTTTAGGCAGTATGGAGAAGGAATGGGGGATAGGTTTTGGGAATGGGAGGCTGGTTTTCTGTTGCCTGATCAATCACACCACTTGATGGCCTTAGAAGGAAGCATGATATTTCCTGAAGGGCAGGAGAAAGGCATCCCACACCTACTGTCTTTCTCCCACTGCCACCCAAGGAGTGCAAGCCCGAACATGTCCTTCCATCTCCTCTCCAGTCTTCTAACATTAACCAAAAAATTAAGTTCTGACACATGCTTCAACATGGATGAACCTGGAGGACATTAGGCTACATGAAATAAGCCAGTCACAAAAGGACAAATACTGTATGATTCCACTTAACAAGGTACCTAGGGTAGTCAAATTCATTAGAGACAGAAAGTAGAACGGTGATTTCCAGAGGTTGGGGAGAGGAGGAAATGGAGAGTTGCTATTTGTGATTATGAAAAAGTAATTCACAGGCTGGGCATGGAGGCTCGTGCCTGTAATCCCAGCACCTCTGGGAGGCTGAGGCAGGAGAGCTGTTTGAGCCCAGGAGTTCAAGACCAGCCTGGGCAACATAGTGGGACTCTGTCTCTACAAAAAATACAAAAATTAGCCAGGGATGGTGGCACACACCTATGATCCTAGCTACTCAGGAGGCTGCAGTGACAGGATCACTTGAGCCTAGGAGGAGGCTGCAGTGAGCCAAGATAGTGCCACTGCACTCCAGCCTAGGAAACAGAGTGAGATCTTGTCTTAAAAAAAAAAAAAAAAGTCATTCACATTGTGAATTACTTATTGCCACTGAATTGCACACGTGAAACTGGTGAAATGGTCAATTTTATATTATGTATATTTTACTATAATAAAAAAATACAACAAAAGAAATGTTTAAATAGGGGGACAATCTCATCCATTCCTCCCCAACCTGTAGTAGGACCTCCCCCATTCCTCACTGAAACCAGTTTTAGTCCTAGGACTTCAGCATCTATTCATATTCTCTGGTTCTACTAGGGGTGGACGTATTTGTCACCCCAAAGGAGCCTGGTTCCTGGAGCAGCCCCTGGAGGGACACAGAGAGAGCCTCCACCGTCTCCTGAGTCGGTCTTAGAGAACGAGTCTGCCAGGGAGCTGAAGCAATTTTTCCTCCTTGCATTTTTCTTGTTTTCTCCAAAAGTGGACCCCATTCCTCCCACTCTTGGTTCCTCATGCTCCTCTATTCCATCCCCAGGCCAGATTCTCAAGAGTTGGATGACTGAGTGACCGTGAACTCCCATTCACTATTTTCAGGTAAGCCATAATGTAACATAGACAAATCCATTTCCAACCCTGAGTGGACTCCACTGGACTCTTGAGAGCTGGAATGGGATTCATTAAATAATTGGACCAGCCACTAGGAAAAAAATATGAAGTGCAATTTTCCCTACTCCTTTCCCATATGCTTAGTATCTATGTAACATAATATTTATTCATTCATTCATAGAGGTATTATTCACTAATTATTATCCATGCAACTGTGTTGCACAGTTGCACAGTACAACGGTTAACAGCACATTATCTATGCACAAGACATGTGACCCTGGGCAGTCTTTTCAACACCGAGTGCCTCGGCTTCCTCATCTACAAAGTAAATAACAGTCGTGCCTATCTCACAGAATTGTAATAAAAAATTAAATGTGTCCTGCATAAAAGGTTTAGGAAAACATACCTAGCACATCAAGAACATTCAAAGCAAGTTGTTTTCTGAATCAGTTTATCATACTAAATTTTCATTGCTCACTAACAGTGTGTGACCTTTTTATCCCCAGTGTTTGACACTTTTGACAACTAAAGGGCACTTCTGAAGATTTTAATCTGAAGTAAAACACAAACAGTATTATCGTAACCACTCCAGCATGGGAAGGGGGAACACGAAAACATTTGTATTGCATTTTTCCATGTTCTAGGAATACCAATGTATAAACCAACCACTGCTGAAATTTATAACATCAATCTGATACAGTAAGTTTCCTTCTGTAAATCAAAGCAGGATTCTTAACTATAGTCTAAAGCGCCCTCTAGTGTTCCTATGCAAAAACTCCCGAGATAATGTGCCATCCTTATAACTAGGGTCTTTTTCTGCCCTGGACAGCCCTGGTTTAGGCGTATTATCCTGCTATTTTGTCTGGTTTAACATTTTCCTGGATTGTTTCACTTTAATGGAGAGTCACCATTAATATTTGCACTAAAATAAGCTAGGATTGGTTTAGTAGCCCTTTATGTTTTCAGCTTCCACCATGGTCTTGTCTAGTACTGTATGACACACAAGCCAAGATGTCACATGCGGTTAAATCTGTAAGGCGGCTAGTGTGGACCCATTTCTATTTTCCCCAATCCTTTCCACATGCAATGGAACTAACACGTTTCCCTTTCAAAAACAGCAAGGCACTTGCTTACCAAAAAAAAAAAAAAAAAGACCCTCAGACAAGAGCCTCCAAGTTCAACTCTGTCCAAGGATAGCACTTATGGTGGCAAGAGAGCTCTCCAACAGCTGCTGCTCTGAACCCTTGGGATTCACCGACTAGGTCTGCCATGGCCCATGCTCAGGTCTATAAAATGCACAGAACCACCAAGGCACAGCTGGTGGGGTCCCTGAGATATGTGAGAAATCATAGGTTAGGGGTGTGAGGAATATGTACAGGGAAACGAGGCTGCAAGTACTGCCTTAGGACACAGAGAAACCAATCTGACCAAAATGATTTGGTTATTTCTTCTATGAGGTGCATCTAAAAGTATTATGTTATTGTTTGGTGGTGCTTTTTTATTTTGCAAGAAATCTTTCAACAACAGTAAGCTCAAAAGGGAAAGTTTAGGCCAGGTGCAATCACTCACACCTGTGATGCCAGCACTTGGGAGGCCAAGGCAGGAAGATTGTTTGACCCAAGGGGTTTGAGACCAGCCTGGGCAACATAGCAGAACCCTATCTCTATTTTATAAGTAAATAAATAAAAGTGAAAGTTTACACTTCGTAAAATATTAAGTGAGGAATTTTCTATCCTCAAGTAAGTTGATGAATGTGAAATTGCATAAAATGTCATCATTTGCCACTCCCCACACCCATGGAGGACAAAGTGATATCCAGAAGCAAATGAAAACCCTAAAACACAAATCTGAAGAAGTTTTTTGTTTTTCTTTTCTTGGGTTTTTGTTGTTGTTTGAGACAGAGTCTTGCTCTGTCGCTCAGGATGGAGTGCAGTGGCGTGATCTCAGCTCGGTTCACTGCAACCTCCGCCTCCCAGGTACAACTGATTCTCCTGCCTCAGCCTCCCAAGTAGTTGGGATTACAGGCGCACACCACCATGCCCAGCTAATTTTTGTATTTTTAGTAGAGATGGGGTTTCACCATATTGGCCAGGCTGGTCTTGAACTCCTGACCTCAAGTGACCCACCTGCCTTGGCCTCCCAAAGTGCTAGGATTACAGGTGTGGGCCTGAAGTGTTATAATCTACATAAAAAATTAGCAGTGGCCTGGTGCAGTGGGTCACACCTGCAATCCCAGCATTTTAAGAGTCTGAGGTGGGAGGATCACTTGAGGCCAGGAGTTCAGGACCAGCCTGGGCAACATAGCAAGACCTTATCTCTACAGCAAAAAAAAAAAAAAAAAAATGCTAGCCAGGTGTAGTGATACACACCTGTAATCCTAGCTACCTGGGAGGCTGACATGGGAGGATCTCTTGAGCCCAGGAGTTTGAGGCTGCAGTGAGCTATGATTGTACCATAGCACTCCAGCCTGGGCAACAAAGCAAGATTGTTTCTATTTTTAAAAGAAAAATAAAATTAGTAGCTATTTTGGGAACCCTGTACTTAAAGTTTACAAGTTATTACACACAGCTGTGTAAGGTGCTCACATGACATTTAGATCCAGTAATTATTCTCCTACACTGACTTTGCCAATTTTTATTTCATGTTTTTGTGTTCATGCACGAAAAGTGAAGCAAAAGCTATAATGTGTTAAGATTGATAGAAGAATTTTATAAAAATTTCACTGTTGCTAATTTTATATCAGTGTTACTAAGGCTTCACCTAGAAAGATCAATTAAATTAATTCCAATAATGGTTTAATTTTTTTATCTAATTCATGGAATCAATGTAAAGCTTTTGGAATTGTAGTCTGTTTAAGATGAAACATATCTGACATAATTATGACTCACTATAAATTTAAATTTTCAATATTTAAGGTAAAAGTATTTGTTTTTGCAGTGATAATCTATATAAACATTTTGGTGGAACATGATGTCATGGTAAAAACAATATCTTGTCCAGGCACAATGGCTCACGCCTGTAATCCCAGCACTTTGGGAGGCCAAGGCAGGCGGATCATGAGGTCAGGAGTTCGAGACCAGCCTGGCAAACATGGCGAAACCCCGTCTCTATTAAAAGTACTGAAAAAAAATTAGCTGGGTGTGGTGGTGCATGCCTGTAATCCCGGCTATTCGGGAGGCTGAGGCAGGAGAATTGCTTGAACCCAGGAGGCAGAAGTTGCAGTGAGCCGAGATCATGCCATTGCACTCCAGCCTGGGCAACAGAGCAAGACTCTGTCTTGGGGGGAAAAAAAATCTTCTTAAATTAAGGCATCTAGGCCAGGCACGGTGGCTCACGCCTGTAATCCCAGCACTTTGGGAGCCAAGACGGGTGGATCATGAGGTCAGGAGATCGAGACCATCCTGGCTAACACGGTGAAACCCCGTCTCTACTAAAAATACAAAAAATTAGTTGGGCGTGTTGGCAGGCGCCTGTAGTCCCAGCTACTCGGGATGCTGAGGCAGGAGAATGGCGTGAACTCGGGAGGCGGAGCTTGCAGTGAGCCCGAGATCGTGCCACTGCACTCCAGCCTGGGCGAGAGCGAGACTTCATCTCAAAAAAAAAAAAAAAAATTAAGGCATCTAATTTTAAAGATGCAGAACTACAGCTGGAGTTGGTTACAGTGTAAATGAAGTCATAATTTCTCCAAAGAAGTTGCATTATTGTATCAACTGCAATGAAACCATATTTGTAAAAATTTACAAATTTTGAAGATGCCAACTTATTAAACTACAAAATTTTTTAATAAAGTTGATAAGTTGATGTTGATTGCAAAACAAAAAAAACAAAACACCTCAGCATGGCAGTACTGAACTTTATTTCCTCTCTGCTACCCATCATCCATTGGAACTATTTAGTAAATCAGCCTGTGTCTGACCAATGATATTGAACTTTTTCATAATTAGTCCTCTAGATTTAGGGTGCATTTTGTTCAATATCAGTTAGAAATTTTAATCAAAGAATTCAAGGAGCATCAAAAAACAAACTTCAGTTTTTCGGTAATTACAACTATTAAAAACCAAACTTGCAAAGAGGAAGACACTGAAACATCCGATCTACAGCAACAGAGTTATAGGAAATAAATGAATTGCCCTCAGATCCTGTCCAAGATTTAGTTTTGAGATTCTATAATTGTTCTTTGGAATATTTCTACATATGGAGAGAAACTTTTATGTTGTCCACTGGAATGGAACAAAATTAAGAAGGCCTATGAATTTATGGCATCTCAGTTTGGGGAAACATCAGAATTATCATAAATGGAGATAATTTATGTGATGACATTTGTCTTCCAAAAATATTTGTAAAAGCAAAGAAAAGTACTCTGAATGGAAGCAAAAAGAACAGTAATCAGGAAGTATATTTCAGCCAATTATTTATACATTTTAACACAAAAAAAATTAGAATTAAGAACACTTCCCATTGAGCAGAATTCACTCCATTTTTACCAGATAACTTAGCTCTTCTAGAGAGATTACATTTCTCAAGTAAATTATGATTTACAGAGAAGAAGAGTCAACCTCAATTTTATTCACATGCAGTATAACCTCAAAAAAGATCCAGGTATTATGAGAAGTTAAAAATAAGTCTATTTTACAAAAAAAGCAGTATTGGCCAGGCGTGGTGGCTCACACCTGTAATCCCAGCACTTTTGGAGGCCAAGGCAGGTGAATTACTTGGGGCCAGGAGTTCGAGACCAGTCTGGCCAATATGGCAAAACCCTGTCTCTACTAAAAATACAAAAATTAGCTGGGTGTGGTGGCACATGCCTGTAATTCCAGCTACTCGGGAGGCTGAGGCATGAAAATCCTTTGGATCTGGAAGGTGGAGTTTGCAGTGAGCCAAGATTGCACCACTGTACTCCAGACTGAGTAACACAGCAAGACTCTGTCTTGGGAAAAAAAAAAGAAAAAAATGCATTCTTCCAAAAAATGCCGGTGTCAGAAAAATGACATGATATTTGAGACAGATAAGACTAAAGGCCGGGTGCGGTGGTTCACGCCTGTAATCCCAGCACTTTGGGAGGCCGAGGCGGGCGAATCACCTGAGGTCGGGAGTTCGAGAGCAGCTGGAGCAACATGGAGAAACCCCATCTCTACCAAAAATACAAAATTAGCCAGGCATGGTGGCGCATGCCTGTAATCCCAGCTACTCGGGAGACTGAGGCAGGAGAATCACTTGAACCCGGAAGGCAGAAGTTGCGGTGGGCCAAGATTGCACCATTGCACTCCAGCCTAGGCAACAAGAGCGAAACTCTGTCTCCAAAAAAAAAGACTAAGAAACTGATTAAGCATGTACTATGTAACAAAAATAATCATACCACTTACGTTATTTTCATCATTCTGATAAGACTAAAGATTTTTTTAATTTTGCTTTAATATACATAGATAGTTGTTACTTTTTAGAATTTCATTTTCGTCCCGGTGCAGTGGCTCATGCCTGTAATCCCAGCAATTTGGGAGGCTGAGGCGGGCAGATCACCTGAGGTGGGGAGTTCGAGACCAGCCTTACCAACAAGGAGCAACCCCGTCCCTACTAAAAATACAAAAAAATTAGCTGGGCATGGTGGCCCATGCTTGTAATCCCAGCTACCCGGGAGGCTGAGGCAGGAGAATCGCTTGAACCCAGGAGGCGGAGGTTGCGGTGAGCCGAGATTGAGCCATTGCACTCCAGCCTGGGCAACAAAAGCAAAACTGCATCTCAAAAAAAAAAAAAAAATTTAAAACAAAAATGAAAGAATTTCATTTTCAAAAGTTTTTAAATAGAACTACTTTATTGGCCTATGCATATAATAAAACTAATTTATCATCCAATATATAAATAATTTAGAAATTATATTCAAACATATGTAAATTATATTGTATGTATTATTTTAGTACCCTTTTTCGTTTCCTAAGTGTACTGGTTTGGAAAATAAATTACCCTAATAAGAGCTACCAGGTAGGGCATGGTGGCTCACACCTGTAATCTCAGCATTTTGGGAGGCCAAGACAGGCGGATCACTTGAGATACGGAGTTCAAGACCAGCTTCGCCAACATGGTGAAACCCCATCTCTACTAAAAATACCAAAGTTAACCAGGCATGGTGGCATGCGCCTATAGGCCCAGCTACTCGGGAGGCTGAGGCAGGAAAATCACTTGAACCGGGGAGGCAGAGGTTGCGGGGAGCCACGATCGCACCACTGCACTCCAGCCTGTGCAACAGAGTGAAACTCTGTCTCAAAAAAAAAAAAAAAAGAAGAAAAAAGAGCTACCATATCTTAAGAGCTTACTATTTATGAGGCACTGTGCTTGAATCAATTTACTCTCTACAACCACTCTGAAAGGTCGTTATTAGCATCTTCATTTCACAGAAAACTCCACCTGATGACAATAAGTGCAGAACAAGAATGTCTCCAGTCTCAGCCCATACTCCCCACTCACCATTTTTTTCTGCATCTTTCCCTACATCAACAGGACATACTACTGGCCCACCAAAGGTGGAATGCACTTCCAGTTAAGAACTACAAATTTGGCTGGGCACGGTGGCTCATGCCTATAATCCCAGCACTTTGGGAGGCCGAGGCGGACGGATCATGAGGTCAGGAGATCAAGACCATCCTGACTAACACAGTGAAACCCCACCTCTACTAAAAATAAAAAAAATTAGACAGACGTGGTGGTGGGCGCCTGTAGTCCCAGCTACTCAGGAGGCTGAGGCAGGAGAATGGCGTGAACCCGGGAAGCGGAGCTTGCAGTAGCCGAGATCGCGCCACTGCACTCCAGCCTGGGCGACAGAGTGAAACTCCGTCTCAATAAATAAATAAATAAATAAAATTTTAAAAAAAGAACCATGAATGCAGGTCCATCGTGACCTCTGACCCCATCACCCATGTGGCCAAGGATGTGCATTTTCAGGACAGCTAGCACATTTTGGAGGGCAGACTATAGCTATGTGAAAATAAGTAAAATTTAAAAGCTGCCAGAACCCAGAAAACACCTTGAGAGAGATGTGACTGTGATCTGAGTCACATAGCATGTAGTTGTAACTTCTGCTTCTTAAATTAAATCAAGTCTCTTCCTCATTGTTCTTGTTCTGTAAATGACCAGAAAGGACCAGAGACAAGACTTCTTCCTCTTCCAATCACTGATCTTTGTTCCAGATTAACTGCCTCCTTTATTGTCCTTCACCTAATTCAACTCAGATGATGCAAAATCTTCAGCATGGATTGTTAAATATACCTTTCTTGAAAGAAAAAGACAACCTCAATTCATCAGATCATTGTAACTATGCATTAATCCTTATATAGAAAGATCATGAAATTCTGTTAAGCTTCCTTAATCTATGTCTGTATAAAGGGTCCCATGATTCTACACTTCAGAACACTGGCTTCCATTCTTTGGAATATGTGCATCCTAGATGGTTGAGTGGTCATCTCAAAGTCTGCACTTGAATAAACTCTCTTTGAACTCTGACCCTTTTGGTTATTTTAGGTTGATAGCTCTAAACCCAAGCAATGAATGACCCTCATACCTAAGAGAGTCACGCTTACCCCATGTCTTTCAAACTACATGTGTCTTTTGTATGTGTAATCTCCAGTTCTGGAAAACCTTTTTGTGTTGTTGTTTTAAATGGTATCCTAGACACTCAAGGGGCAGACCATAATGTATAGCTCTTGCATTAATGTGAATTAAATGGTATTTGACCTCAGACCTTAGCATCATTAAAATTACAAATTGTCTCTGGCTATCCTATAATATAGACTAAGCTATGAAATGTAACAATAAAAGTATAAGTTTTGTGCTATATTTAGCACTTGGTACATATTCCTCTCTGTCTTTAAGTGTCACTATTGAGACTATGAACTCTTTTTTTTTTTTGAGATGGAGTCTCGCTCTTTTGCCCAGGCTGGAGTGCAGTGGCATGACCTTGGCTCACTGCAAGCTCTGCCTCCCGGGTTCAAGGAACTCTCCTGCCTTCCGTGTAGCTGGGACTACAGGTGCGTGCCACCATGCCCAGCTAATTTTTGTATTTTTAGTAGAGACGGGGTTTCACCATGTTAGCCAGGATGGTCTCAATCTCCTGACCCTGTGATCCACCCACCTCAGCCTCCCAAAGTGCTGGGATTACAGGCATGAGCCACCACACCTGGCCTTTTTTTTTTTGACAGGGTCTCACTCTGTCACCCAGGCTGGAGTGCAGTGGCATGATCATAGCTCACTGCAGCCTCGAACTCCCAGGCTCAAGTGATCCTCCCACCTCAGCCCCGTAAGTAGCTGGGACTACAGGTACGCACCACCATGCCCAGCTAATTTTTGTATTTTTTGTAGAATGGGGTTTCACCATGTTGCCCAGGCTGGTCTCAAACTTCTGGGCTCAAGCAATCCACCTGCCTCGGCCTTCCACAGTGCTGGGATTACAGGTGTGAACCACTGTACAGGTAAACTCTTAAAATACCATTGTGTTTAACCTAGGTACTTATTTTTCCAATGCTTTCATTCTATCTTAATCATTTCAGTTACATCTTATATGTACAAAAGGTTTCCCTTCAAAAAGAAAGTCATTATTTAGTAGACAATTAGCAATATATGCTAGCAGATAGTGAAAATATATAAAGTACCTGTTAAGTAGATTACTCTAAGGATGTATCTACCTAGGATAATAGATTAAAATGTTACCTAGGCCAAGTGTGGTGGCTCCTGCCTGTAATCCCAGCACTTTGGGAGATAGAGGCAGGTGGATCACCTGAGGTCAGGAGTTCAAGAGCAGCCTGACCAAAGTGGCAAAACCCCGCCTCTACTGAAAATATAAAAATTAGCTCGGCGTGGTGGTGCGTGCCTGCAGTCCCAGCTACTTGGGAGGCTGAGGAAGGAGAATCGCTTGAACCTCGGAGGCAGAGGTTGCAGTGAGCCGAGAACGTGCCATTGCACTACTGCCTGGGCAACAAAGCAAGATTCTGTCTCAAAAATAAATAAATAAATAAAATGTCACCTAATAAAAATGATATAATAAATGTTGGGGACTCAGGGGTGGGGAGAAAGAGACAGAGGGAGGTGAGAGATAAAAGACTACACATTGGGTACAGTGTACACTGTTCAGATGATGGGTGCACCAAAATCTCAGAAATTACCACTAAAAAACTTACCCATGTAACCAAAAACCATCTGTTCCTCAAAAACTATTGAAATTAAAAATAAATAAATAAAATGTTACCTAAAAGTAAGAGGTTTGTATTGGATTTAGATATCCCCCAAATCCTAATATGGTTTGACTTAAGACAAAGACATGATTGCAAATAGTTCATTAGGGAGGTAAGGGATGGCTGGTAGGGGAGCAGGAAAGGGAAGATTGCTAATTAAGGATGTGTTGTTAAGCCAAAGCTAGAATTTAACTTCAGCAGAAAACGCTGAAGGCAAACATAGCCCTTACGATCATTCCATCCAGGGATGGGGGATCTGGAGTAATTATACCCCAACTCCCATCAGCTCCTGATTGAGGACTTCTGGGGGTTGGTGTGAACTCCCCAGCATTTCCAGATACTACCAGTTGGAACTCTAAAGCACAATGAAATGATAAGGTCTTAAAGGAAGTGGGCAGGACACTGACAGCATCTGCTACATCCTTCCAAGCCTAAAGTATCTTCTCATATCCAGTAGTTAAGTAAATACCACCATGCTGCCTGCCCACCCCACACCTCACAACAAAACAGACAAACAATGGTCAAAGTCTAGCAGTGATGGGCTTTAAAGTATTTATAGCCAAGGAAGAGAATTCTAATTTAAACACTCCTTCCCAAACAAAAATTTTACAATATAAAATAATTTAATATTATTAAATGAAAAGGACAGAAATAGAGATTTTATATTCCAGCTGGGAGCAGTGGCTCACGCCTATAATCCCAGCACTTTGGTAGGCTGAGGTGGGTGGAACACGTGAGATCAGGAGTTCAAAATCAGCCTGGCCAAAATGGTGAAACCTTGTGTCTACTAAAAATACAAAAATTAGCCAGGTGTGGTGGCCCATGCCTATAATCCCAGCTACTCAAGAGGCTGAGGCATGAGAATCGCTTGAACCCAGGAGGCAGAGGTTGCAGTGAGCCGAGATGCCGCCACTGCACTCCAACCTGGAGACTCTGTCTCAAAAAAAAAAAAACAGAAAAGAATATGGAAATATCTCATATTTTATATTCTGTTAGACTTTGGGTTGCAAGTCATTTGAGAAAAAGCCATGAAATTGGCCATGAGAAAAAGCCATGAAATTGGCCCTATTAAAATATAACAAGGATTTCTCAGCCTAATCCAAACAGTGTTGATGAATCATTTCTGATTGAGCTTGAGGTGCATATAAACAACTAGAAACAATTCAGCTGTGTATTTCAATGCTTCAATGAAGGGAAGACTTTGCCCATTGCTCCCTAGTTAATCCAAATTTTTGTTTTCTTTTTAAAGAGAAAAATCAAGGTTTTTCTTTTCTTTTTGTGTGTTTGGTTGGTTGGTTAGTAATTTACAGACTATGCAACTGTGCTGTTCCCCAATATATGCATAAGGCAGGAGAGAGTGGGATTTGTTTGCTTGCTTGTTTGTTTTGGAAACATACTGATGTTACTTACTGAGCCTCCAAAGCACTCCCTATCTGTGGCTGCCCCCAAGTTCAGGCAGATGAGCATTCTGAGAGCTGCTCAGAGGAATACAGTTTTTTCTAGATATCAGATGGCAAGCCTACAATCTGTTGAAGAATTTCTCACCTAATTTTCACCTCTGTATATTACTCACCAATTTTACATTGATTCTCCCCTCCAAAAACATGATAAGCATTCCCATGGTCACGTCCTGGGTGGATCTTAAAGAGTATTGGAAATAGCACATGCAGCTGTTAGCTTCTCCAAACACACAATCCAAAGCATTTAAATGCCCAGTCTGCAATGCTGGCAGTGAAAGACAAGAATAACAGTTACTTTTTATACCAAAGATAAATACCGGATGATGCCTGAAAAAGGCAGGGTCAGCCTAACTCATAGGCAGAAAAGAATACCACCAATGTCAACGGCAGGAAAAGCTCCCTGGGAAGGATGCACAGGCTTGACTAATTAAAGGTCTTTTAAAGGAAAGAGCAACATGGTTTTGTTAAATTTTGAAAATACTGCTCTTTAAAATTATGAACACGCCGGGCGCGGTGGCTCACACCTGCAATCCCAGCATTTTGGGAGGCCAAGGCAGGGGGATCACTGGAGGTCAGGAGTTTGAGACCAGCTTGGCCAACATGGTGAAACCCCATTTCTACTAAAAATATAAAAAATTAGCCAGGCGTGGTGGCAGGCCTTGTAATCCCAGCTACTTGGGAGGCTGAGGCAGGAGAATTGCTTGAACCCGGGAGGCAGAGGTTTCAGTGAGCCCAGATCACACCACTGCAGTCACTCCAGCATGGGCAATAAGAGCGAAACTCCATCTCAAAAAGAAAAGTAAAGCCCTGCGCAGTGGCTCACGCCTGTAATCCCAGCACTTGGGGAGGCCAAGGCGGGCAGATCATGAGGTCAGGAGTTCGAGACTAGCCTGGCCAACATGGTGAAACCCTGTCTCTACTAAAAATACAAAAATTAGCCAGGCATGGTGGCACATGCCTGTAATCCTAGCTACGTGGGAGGCTGAGGCAGAAGAATTGCTTGAACCCAGGAGGCAGAGATTGCAGTGAGTTGAGATTGCGCCACTGCACTCCAGCCTGGGTGACAGAGTGAGACTCTGTCTGAAAAGAAAAAGGAAAAGAAAAGGAAAAGGAAAAGGAAAGAAAAAGAAAAAATAAAATAAAATGATGAACAGGATTTAAAACTCTTCAATAAATACAGTGAATAATAAAACACACATTAGTTTCAAATTTGAGCTGTATGGAAGGGGGATGAGTGTGATAAAGGGGGGAAAAGCAATGATACATATGTGTTAACTGAAGCAAAAGCTACAAAAGATCAAGTATATCGTCTGGGTGCAGTGGTTCACGCCTGTAATCCCAGCACTTTGGGAGGCCGAGACAGGTGGATCATGAGGTCAGGAGTTCAAGACCAGCCTGACCAATATGGTGAAACCCCATCTTTACTAAAAATGCAAAAATTAGCCGTGCATGGTGGTGCATGTCTGTAATCCCAGCTACTCAGGAGGCTGAGGCAGGAGAATCGCTTGAACCCAGGAGGCAGAGGTTGCAGTGAGTTGACGTCCCGCCACTACATTCCAGCCTGGGCAACAGAGCGAGACTCCGCCTCAAAAAAAAAAAAAGTACAATAATTATAGACTGTGGTTGTGGCTGTTTAAGAAACAAAGGGCTTAGACAATGGGAAGAGAGTACTACATGTAGCATGGTCAGAGAAAGCTTGTCTAAAGAAATAGTTAAGCTAAACTCCCCAAGAATCACAGTGAATCCTATAAAGAACCACAGAGAAACAGCCCTACTGCAGGTATACCTTGGTGACTTCAAGCTGCTCAGTGTTGCTGGAATTCAGGAAGAGGTGGAATGGAAACAGAGGGTTGGAGGTGGTTGGAGAGATAGGCAAGTGCCAAATCCCTTGGGGACCTGAAAGCCAATGATAAGGAATTTGCATAATCTCAATACAAGGAAAGCCATGAAAAGATTTTAAGCAGGGGAGAGAAGTCATGGGATTTACACTTTAACTTGATCACTCTCACTGCCCAGTGGATTCAAGAGAGAGAAAAGGTTAGAAGGTAGTCTTTGTCTTCACTGTCATTGTCATTCACTCCCTCCTCCTGCCACTTTCACCCCTGCATTGCTGACCACCAAAATCCCTGCAGCATTATATGCTACCCACAGGACAACATTGCACCTCCGCAAACGCCTAATAATCCCTGTTCATTCAGCTCCCAAATTCCTGCAACCTTTTACCCCAAAGCCATGAACCCATCCCAACCTTCTTACTAGGCATCCTGCCACACAGACCTCTTGTTCTATAGCTCGCATCAGCCTCTTCTGGGAGGATAACCCCAGTTCCTCCACTATGACCATCTCTTTTATCCCTCTACTGACCTCCTAGTTCAAACTCATGCCACCTTCTGTGTTCTTGGAACTAGATGTCATAGTGTTTTCTTTGCAAACAATTTGAATTCATGACACTATAAAATGCCTCATGTTGAAAGGAAATTTAGAGATATTCTGGTTTAACCTGGAGGTTTTTATGACAAAGAAACAGGCCTGGTATGGTTAGAAGATTTTTCTGAGGTCTCTGAGGTTAGGGAGTAGCAAAGCAGTACTAAACTCTGGGCCTCTGACTTCCTAGTTGCTGTTCCTTGCATGATTTTAAAGCAATTTTTAAAAACACTGCGGAGTGAGGGTGCTTCATGTTTTCTTTCTTTTCTTTTTTTTTTTTTTTTTTTTGAGACAGAGTCTCACTCTGTCCCCCAGGCTGGAGTGCAGTGGCACGATCTCGGCTCCCTGCAAGCTCCGCCTCTCGGGTTCACGCCATTCTCCTGCCTCAGCCTCCCGAATGGCTGGGACTACAGGTACCCGCCACCACACCCGGCTAATTTTTTGTATTTTTAGCAGAGACGAGGTTTCACTGTGTTAGCCAGGATGGTCTTGATCTCCTGACCTTGTGATCCATCCACCTCGGCCTCCCAAAGTGCTGGGATTACAGGTGTGAGCCACCGTGCCCGGCCGGCTTCATGTTTTATAAAACACTTCAACACATGCCATCTCGTAGAATCATGGCAGCCCCCAAGTAATAGATATAAATTGAAGCTGAGAAAGATAAAGTGCTGAGAGAGCTGCTAAGCCAGGACTTAGACTCAGGTCTTGTGGCTCCAAGTCCTGCAGAAACTACAAAAACTTTCCTATTGTCAGAAGAAGTTAGTCCTGGGCATCAAAATTAGAGGTTTCCTATTTCCACTCATTATTATTGGTTAATGATGCCTTTGTGTATATTAGTTTTACATTCCTCTGAAGATCAGATTTTTTTACAGCCCTATCAAGCTCTATTTGCCCATGTAATTATTGCTATTTTTCCTTTTTATTTTTTTAACTGACACATAATTGTACAGATTTGTGGGGTGTACAGTGATTTTTGATTATAAATTCAATTGATTGATTGAATTTATATAAATTGATTGATTATAAATTATCAATTTATAATTTTATAATGATCAATTCAGGGTAATTAGTATATTCACCTCAAACATTTATCATTTTTTTGTGTTGGAAATATTCAAAATCCTCTCTTCTAGCTGTTTTATTTTTATTTTATTTATTTATTTATTTTACTTTTTTTGAGATGGAGTCTCACTCTGTCACCCAGGCTGGAATGCAGTAGTGCGATCTTGGCTCACTGCAATCCCTGTCTCCTGGGTTCAAGTAATTCTCATGCCTTAGCCTCCGAAGTAGCTGGGATTACAAGCACCCACCACCACACCCAGCTAATTTTTTGTATTTTTAGTAGAGACAGGGTTTTACCATGTTGACCAGGCTGGCCTCGAACTCCTGACCTCAGGTGATCCACTTGCCTCAGCCACCCAAAGTGTTGAGATTACAGGTGTGAGCCACTGCACACAGCCCCTTCTAGCCATTTTAAAATATACAATAAGTTAATTTAACTGTAGTCATCCTACAGTGCTGATAGAACACTAGAACTCATTCCTCCTATCAGTTGTTTTGTTTTTATTTTTACTTACTCGTTGGGAACAGGCCCCCAATCTGGCCATAAACTGGCCCCAAAACTGGCCATAAACAAAATCTCTGCAGCACTGTGACATGCTCGTAATAGCCATGATGCCCACGCTGGAAGGTTGTCGGTTTACCGGAATGAGGGCAAAGAACACCTGGCCCACCCAGGGCGGAAAACTGGAAAACCGCTTAAAGGCATTCTTAAACCACAAACAATAGCATGAGGGATCTGTGCCTTAAGGACATGTTCCTGCTGCAGATAGCTAGCCAGACCCATCCCTTTATTTCGGCCCATCCCTTTGTTTCCCGTAAGGAATACTTTTGGTTAATCTACAATCTATAGAAATAATGCTTATCACTGGCTTACTGTCAATAAATATGTGGGTAAATCCCTGTTCAAGGATCTCAGCTCTGAAGGCAGTAAGACCCCTGATTTCCCACAACATACTCTATATTTCTGTGTGTGTGTGTGTCTTTAATTCCTCTAGCGCCACTGGGTTAGGATCTCCACGACTGAACTGGTCTCAGCATTTACTTATTTATTTATTTTTTAATAGAGACAGGGTTTTGCCATCTTGCCCAAGCTGATCTCAAACTCCTGGGCTTCAGTGATCCTCCTGCCTCAGCCCCCCAGAGTGCTGGGATTACAGGCATGTGCCACCACATCTGGCCTGATGATTTTATAACTGTTAACCAACCGCTCTCCCTCTTCCCCACTCCCCTTCCCAGCCTCTATTAATGACTATTCTACCCTCTACTTCTATGAGATCAACTTTTTAACCTTCCATATATAAGTAAAAACATGCAGTGTTTGTCTTTCTGTGCCTGGCTTATTTCACTCATAATGTCCTCCAGGCTTATCCATGTTGCCATGAATTATAGGATTTTGTTCTTTTTTATGGCTGAATAGTATTCCATTGTGTGTATATACACCACATTTTATTTATCCATTCATCTGGTGATGGACACTTAGGTTGATTCCATATCTTGGCTACTGTGAATAGTGCTGCCATAAACATGGGGATACAGGTATTTCGAGATCAGATTTTTTAATGTGGTTAAGGAAGAACTTTGTCCAATACTGGAAGTTGATCGGAATGAGGGTAAGGGTTTCTGAGCAGGAGAGAAACTTAAAGAACAAATATAATGAAGAAAAGAGATGCCCCAGGGGCAGTGGTTCACACCTGTAATTCCAGAACTTTGGGAGACTAAGTTGGAAGGATTGCATAAGTCCAGGAATTCAAGACCAGTCTGGACAACATAGTGAGACACCATCTCTACAAAAACAAATTACCCAAGCGTGGTGGCATGCAACTGTAGTCTCAACTACTTGGGAGGCTGAGGCAGAAGGATTGCTTGAGCCCAAGGGGTCAAGGCTGCAGTGAGCCGTGATCGCAACACCACTGCATTGCAGCCCAGGTGACAGAGCAAGACTATATCAGAAAGAAAGAGAAAGAAAAGAGGTGCGGGGAGGGGAGGGGAGGGAAGAAGGAAGGAAGGAAGGAAGGAAAGAAGGAAGGAAGGGAAGAGAGAGAGAGGAAGGAAGGAAGGAAAGAAGGAGGGAGGGAGGGAAGGAAGGAAAAAAGAGAGAAGGAGAGAGAGAGGAAGGAAGGAAAGAAGCAGGGAGGGAGGGAGGGAAGAAAGAGAAGGAGAGAGGAAGGAAGGAAGGAGGGAGGGAAGGAAGGAAGGGAGGGAGGAAGGGAGGAAGGAAGGAAGGAAGAAAGGAAGAAAGAAAGAGAGAAAGATGCAAACTTTACCAAGTTTGTGATTTGGGCCGATCCAACACCATTATGGCATCTACCATCATGAGGAAATGCGCTCTAAAACTGGTTTTCTTATTTTAAGTGCAAGTTACCACAGCACAATTTCACCACAGCAAAAGAATGTAGATGGTCTCATGGATTCATTATTAAAATATTTGAAGTATATACAAATTGGATTCTTTGAATTATTTTTTCCAGCTCATTTGAGGTTTAGAATTTCAAATCCAATGTCAAAAATATTCTCAGTGACAAAAAAAAAAAAAAAAAATGTCCTTCTCAGTTGCTTTGCAGGATGTGGAAGAGATTACTGCTTCAGAGGAAATATATTTTGGAATGCATTGCATCCTGATGCTACAATTAGTTCTATTCTTGTTCTGAAAATGGAAAGGGGTCAGGGGCTCTGCATAACTGACACTTAGCAGCAGCGGCAGATGCAAGCTGGCAGCCAGCATTCAGCCAGGAGAAGTGGCTTGCTTTTCCCATCTGAGCCCAACATAGACAAGTTAACAGAACACTTACACAAGAATTATTGTTTCCTTGTTCTTTTATTTGCTTTTATTTTGATGAGCTCAAACACTTTTCCCCAAACATCAGACCTATTATTAGCAACATTCCCTTAGGGTGCGCTAGGTACAGTTACTTAAACATGTTGTAAAACCTCCCAGGCCAGGTGTGGTGGGTCACGCCTGTAATCCCAACACTTTGGGAGGCTAAAGGGGGCAGATCATGAGGTCAGGAGATCGAGACCATCCTGGCCAACATGGTGAAACCCCGTCTCTACTAAAATACAAAAAATTAGCCAGGCATGGTGGTGCACGCCTATAGTCCCAGCTACTCAGGAGGCTGAGGCAGAGGAATCACTTGAACCTGGGAGGCAGAGGTTGCAGTGAGCCGAGATCACACCACTGCACTCCAGTCTGGTGACAGAGCGAGACTCTATCTCAAAAAAAAACAAAACAAACAAACAAACAAAACTCCCAAATGTGAATGAAAAATACCTGCACTTACCTCAGATGTAGAGTACTATAAGAATATAGTTGATTCCCTTTGTGAGTAGTTGCTGAGCTAAGAGAAATCTTATGGGTCTATTAACTAAAAGCCCAGAATAATATAATTATTAGGATTTTCTTAATATTATTCACTGAACCTGAATAATAGTCTGAAAAATGAATATAACAAATCAAGCAAACAACATTACTAGCTTTCAGAAGGCTAAAAATAAATGTCTAAAGTAGCAAGTGTTCTGCTGAAAATAATCATGCAAAATGCACATATCTCGCATACCATCAAATCGGACCATTTTTCAGGGCATCCTCCATTATTGCATTCCACCCCATTCACACTCCTTGGCAATTAAGACACCCAAGTTGTGACATGCAGATTCTGGTTTAGCTCAGTTGAGTGCTGTCTGAGTGTGGTGGCATAGATGAGTCAGCCAAATACCTCACCCCACATTCCTCTCATACCTATCCAGAGACCCCAAGATCATGGTTAGCAAATACACAGAAAGCTTCCAGCACATTACCTTGGCCTTGGGGGTTTGTGCATTCTTCAAAGTCAACTGAAATCTGGAGATTCTGAATCATCTTCTCCAACACTGCACTATACTACACTAGCATGCTTGCTTCAGCAGCACACATACTAAAATTGGAACAATACAGAGGAGATTAGCATGGCCCCTGCGCAAGGATGACACGCAAATTTGTGAAGGATTCCATATTTCCAAAGATTGAGCATTCTCAGGCATAAGTAGGAGCTGAGCTAGGAAAATGCAAAGGCATAAGAATGATACAATGGACTCTGGGGACTCAGGGGAAAGGGTGGGGGTGGAGTGAGGGATAAAAGACTACAAATTGGGTTCACTGTATACTGCTCAGGTGATGGGTGCACCAATATCTCACAAATCATAACTAAAGAACTTACTCATGTAACCAAATACCACCTGTTCTCCAAAAACCTACGGAAATAAATAATTTGAATATATTAGCCAATATTTAAGAGCAGGGAGGATTACTAGTCTAAGTTGATAAGATTATATCTCTAAGATAACCATTTCCAGCTTTTTAAGGCACTGAATAGTGCTTTTGTACATAGGATTTTTAATAAGAATTCCTATGACTGAGTAATGTTTGTATTCATGTTAGGTTTTTATTTCTTTGGGTAAGACCATTAAAACTGCCTTTGCATTTAAGATTCTGACTGAGTGTGGTAGCTCACACCTGTTATCTCAGAGCTTTGGGAGGCCAGGGTGGGAGGCTCGCTTGAGGCCAGGAGTTTGATAGCAGCCTGGGCAGCATAGCAAAACCTCATCTCTACAAAAAATGCAAAAAAAAAAAAAAAATTGGCCAGGTGTGGTGGCATGCACCTGCAGTCCCAACTACCTGGAAGGCTGAGGCAGGAGGATCCCTTGAGCCCAGGAGTTCAAGGCTACAGTGAGCTATGATGGCACCACTACACTCCAGCCTGGGTGACAGAGCAAGAATCTGCCTCTTAAAAAAAGGGGTTGGGGGCGGGGTGGATGAAGATTCAGATGAAGCAGAAAATGAAAATAATGTTTTAGGAATGCAAAATAGGCCAGTGGCTCACGCCTGTAATCCCAGCACTTTGGGAGGCCGAGGTGAGTGGATCACCTGAGGTCAGGAGTTCAAGAACAGCCTAGCCAATATGGTGAAACCCTGTGCCTACTAAAATTGTAAAGAATTAGCTGGGCATGGTGGCAGGCACCTGTAATCCCAGCTAAGGCAGAAGAATCGGTTGAACCCTGGAGGCAGAGGTTGCAGTGAGCTGAGATTGCACCATTGCACTCCAGCCTGGGTAACAAGAGCGAGACTCCATCCATCTCAAAAGAAAAAAACAAGAATAAAAAAAGGAATGCAAAATAAGTAACACCAGTCAAAACGTCACACCTCTGCTTTCTTAAAAATTAAATTTTATAGGCCGGGCACAGTGGCTCATGCCTGTAATCCCAGCACTTTGGGAGACCGAGGCGGGTGGATCACGAGGTCAGGATATCGAGACCATCCTGGCTAACACAGTGAAACCCCGTCTCTACTAAAAATACAAAAAATTAGCCGGGCGTGGTGGCACACGGCTGTAGTCCCAGCTACTCGGGAGGCTGAGGCAGGAGCATCACTTTAACCTAGGAGGCGGAGCTTGCAGTGAGCCGAGATCGCGCCACTGCACTCCAGCCTGGGTGACAGAGCGAGACTCCATCTCAAAAAAAAAAAAAAATTGAATTTTATATAAAGAGCATTTTATTTGCCATTGATTTAAAACAAGGCTCAGTATAATTGAATAGGTTTATATTTTCAGGCAGTTTCTGATTCTGTGAAAAGTATACTTTACAACCAAGATTAATGACAATCATTATGAGCAACTTTCCTCATCATGTAATATCTCTGATAAAGAGTATGATGCTACAACACTAACTCTAGTAGTGAACTGCAGTGTAAAAAATTAATAAGTAAAAAATGAACAATCCAGAAGAGTGTTTACAAAAAGTCAAACAACTGGACTGGCTTTCATAGATCATCTAGTCCCTTTACCAATTTGTTAACAATGAAATTAAAATAATTAAGATGGGCACCTTTCGGCCAGGGGCTATGGCTTTGTGGCTCTGTGGCCAGCTTACTTTTGGTTCTAAGAAGACAGAAGTCAAAAAGCCAGAGCAAGAAACCAGTGATACCACTTTTACCATTAGGACATGTGACAATTGATCCTAATGGTTTTGTCACTTGAGCCTTCTAGCCAAAATTGACTTGCAAACAAAACATTCCGAAATATTTGATAGCTGAACCTTTAAATGCAGCCATTTTTGCACTTCCATCAAAAAAAGAGGCTAGCCAGGCACAGTGGCTTACGCCTGTAATCCCAGTACTTTGGGAGGCAGGGGCCGGTGGATTGCTTGAATCCAGGAGTTTGAGACCAGCCTGGGCAACATGGCAAAAACTCATCTCTACAAAAAATACAAAAAATTAGCTGGGTGTGGTAGCATGCACCTGTAGTCCCAGCTACTCTGGAGGCTAAGGTGGAAGGATTACTTGAGCTTGGAAGGTCAAGCCTTCAGTGAGCCATGATGGTGCCACTGTACTCCAGCCTGGGTGACAGAGTGAGACTCTGTCTCAAAAGAAAAAAAAGAGAGAGAGGCTAATGTTGAGCCTGTCAATATTTTTCCAAAGTCTTAGAACTCAGGAAGAGTAAGGTAAGTTTAGATAAAGTTGAAAAATCTCATCCACATCTCTACAAGAAATGTTGGTGAGACTAAAAAAGCAAGTTAAACAAAACAGGCACAGTTCCACGACATCCTTGGGAAACATTTTCTGAATACTAAAAAGAAATAATTCATTCTTAAATACAAGAAAAATACATTTAAATATCAGAAAAACCTGGAAAGTAATTTTTTTTTTTTTGAGATGGAGTCTCACTCTGTCATCCAGGCTGCAGTGCAGTGACGTGATCTCGGCTCACTGCAACCTCCGCCTCCGGGTTCAAGCAATTCTCCTGCCTCAGCCTCCTGAGTAGCTGGGACTACAGGCACATGTCATCATGCCTGGGGAATTTTTGTATTTTTAGTAGAAACAGGGTTTCACCGTGTTAGCCAGGATGGTCTTGATCTCCTGATCTCACGACCGCCCGCCTCGGCCTCCCAAAATGCTGGGATTACAGGTGTAAGCCACCGTGCCCAGTAAAAGTACATTTTAAAAATCATGGCTAGTACTCACTGAAGAAATAGGACCATGAAAGTACGAAATATCATGTTTCAGGGCAGTTCAAGTTTCAGATGAATCCGAGTATTCATTACTCTTTAAATTGTTATACCAAGATACCTTTAGGCCTAGTTCTTATATTTTAAAATTGTGTTTAAGATCCCTAACCTAAAATAGCTAGCAGCATGTTACTTTGATTTCCTGGAATTACAGATTAACAGAGCTAGAAAGATATTCAAGATGATTTGTTTCAACACCTATTTATAGATAAGAGAGTGTCCTGAGACCCAGATAGATTGAAGGTCATGCAGTGGCAAGATGAAAACCAGGACCCAGATTCCTCGACTCTTAGTTTAATTTACTGAATCCTGGTTGTAATTTTAATTTTGAGATTGATTTTGACAGTAATTCCATGCATAGTTTACTACCACAGGAGATTTAAAAAAAAAAAACTGAAGTGGAGAATAAAGATAATAGCACAGAAACATTCCCTCCTCAAAAAAAAAAATACCCTCAATAACCAAAAAATTTTCATTATCACTTTTTTTGCCCTAAATTGCCAGATGTGTTGCCTAAATTCATTTCCCTCTAATGCCACAGCCTAAATTAGAAGCATTGGCTTCCTTTTAAGAAAACACTCTTTACAGGTTTGTAATCTGAGGTTACAAATAACCCCAAAATCCCAGTGACTTAAAACAAAAAGGGCTTTCTCATTCATGCCAAATGTCCGTCCTGGCTCAACAGGGATGCTGCTGCAAGTAAACACTCAGAGACAGATCCCCAGAAAGCTTCATGGATTAAGAACCCCTCCTCAGTATACATTAATTACCTTGATTTAGCCATCCCACAATATATACATATATCAAAATGTCATGTTGTACACCATAACTACATATAATTTTTATTTGTCAATTTAAAAAATAAAAAAAAAAATTAGAGGTGACATACAATTCTGCTTGCAAATCATTGGTCAAACTGATCACAACATCCCATCCAACCACATGGGGTCACTAAATGCAATACTAGAAAGCAGTGGCTGGGTGTAGGGGCTCACGCCTGTAACCACAGCTCTTTGGGAGGCCGAGGCAGGAAGATTGCTTGAGGCCAGGACTTTGAGATTAGCCCAGGCAACACAGCAAGACCCCTGTCTCTACAAAAATTTAAAAATTAGCCAGGCATGGCTTGAGCCCGAGTTCAAGGCTGCAGTGAGCTATGATTGCTCCACCGCACTCCAGCCTGGGCAACAGAGTGAGACCTCGACCCTCAAAAAACAAGAAGACAGAAAGCCAGAACATATTCGGAGAACAGCGTAGCTACCATACCCTCTATTTCTGAAACATAAAAAACTGAATATTGACCCCCTCTGATTGAATACACAACACTTTATGAAGTACTTAATTTTTAAATCATAAGCCAAAAGAAGTTAAAGAGAATGTCACTAAGAATCAAGAACCTCCTGCAATACCCTTTGTTCCACCACCAGCTAAGTGATGACCTTGGCAGGTCACATCAGTTTCCTCATTTGTAAAATATGGAATGGGTGAGACTAGATGATTTTTGAGGTCCTATCTGGCCTTATAAGACCTACAATCCTAATTTACATGAATTTATGAGAGCGTTCAGGACTCTTTACCGCGTTAGCAATACTAAAGTCAAAATATTTTCTCTTAAAAATGCAACAACTAGACTGGGGGCAGTGGCTCACCTGTAATCCCAGCACTTTGAGAGGCCAAGGTGGGCGGATCACCTGAGGTCAGGAGTTCGAGACCAGCCTGGCCAATATGGTGAAACCCTGTCTCTACTAAATATACAAAAAATTAGCTGGGTGTGGTGGCAGGTGCCTGTAATCCCAGCTACTCAGGAGGCTGAGGCAGGAGAATCTCTTGAACCCGGCAGGCAGAGGTTGCAGTGAGCTGAGAACTCGCCATTGCACTCCAGCCTGGACAACAGAGCGAGACTCCATTTCAAAAAAAAAAAAAGGCCAGGCGTGATGGCTCACGCCTGTAATCACAACACTTTGGGAGGCCAAGGCAGGTGGATCACAAAGTCAGGAGTTCAAGACCAGCCTGGCCAACATAGTGAAACCCCACCTCTACTAAAAATACAAAAATTAGCCAGGCATGGTGGCACGTGCCTGTAGCCCCAGCTACTCAGGAGGCTGAGGCAGGAGAATCACTTGAACCTGGGAGGTGGAGGTTGCGGTGAGCCATGATTGCACCACTGCACTCCAGCCTGGGCAACAGAGCAAGACTCCGTCTCCAAAAAAAAAGTCTTAATTCAAAAAACCATACAAAAATAATTATTTCTTGGTTGGCATTTGTTTTGTTTTGTTGCTTTTTTTATTGTGCTTTCTTAATAGTCACAGAAGCAGAAAATCTCACTTTGTTCAAGGAATTATAGTATGTTGTTTGGCTTGCACCAAAGAATCTTACACCAACATCTAGGAGCAGCTTTTCTCACCAAAGCAAAAGTTTTCTGTTCATTCTAGACCTGACTGTGCTTTACTATGTTTTGATACACAATCTTTTTGTTATTTATTTCTCTATACTTGTATTTGTCCCTTTTCTTATAGGGTTGAGGGAATTCTAAATTCTACAAAGCAATAATGTAGCATTATACTTTTTCCTTATAGGAATCGGCCCATACTCTTAATGTGAACTAAAGTCATCCTGTCCAACCAGTTGATGAGATATGGGCACTCTTATTTATTCCTGATCATTAGGCTGATCTTGAAAGAAAAAGAAACACTTGGTTTTATATAATATGGAAAGATAATAGTATAAGCTCCTGTCTGATAAAGGAAAATATGAAATTAGATACATGACTCCCTAATCCGTTCTAACAAAAGGTAGATTGTGAAGCTAGTCACTTAAAGCCAAGACACTCTATTTAGATCCTATGTTAGTAAACATCTTGATCTGGGCCGGGCATGGTGGGTCATTCCTGTAATTCTAGCAGTTTGGGAGGCTGATGTAGGAGGATCACTTAAGGCCACAAGTTTTAGACCAGCTGACCAATATAGCAAGACCCAATCTCTACAAAAAATAAAAAAATAGCTAGGCATGGGTGGTGCGTACCTGTAGTGACAGCTACTCAGGAGGCTGAGGCGAGATCACTTAACCCCAGGAGTTCAAAGCTGCAATGAGCTATGAGTGAACCACTGCACTTCAACCTGGGTGGTCCTGTCTCAATCAGTGTAGTTAAGGAAGCTGAATGTGGGGCCCAATGTGAAAAAGAGCCTGGTTAGCTACTAATAAACTAAAGTGAATGGTCCGAACTAAGATTAAAGTTAACTCTTTTCTTTTCCACGAATGCTAAGATTCTCTGTGGGGTTTCTTCCTAATATTCAATGTGAGGAAAGGACAGACATTCTTGCTTTTCAATTGTCTACAGAAGCCTACTTTACCCTTCTGAAAAAGCAAACTTATATTTGCAGAAACCCCAAGTCTGGTTAACCATATTTCCAAAATCTGACTTGAAAAGTCATTAAATGTGTCCAGGGTGGGAGATGATGCCAGGTCATAAATTGAACATGCCATTCACTACTTCAGATATACATTAATGTAAAATAAACTTCGTCGATCTAGAAAAATTATTTCCTGGCCAGGTGCGGTGGCTCACGCCTGTAATCCCAGCACTTTGGGAGGCTGAGGTGGGTGGATCACCTGAGGTTGGCAGTTCGAGACCAGCCTGACAAACATGGAGAAACCCTGTCTCTACTAAAAATACAAAATTAGCCAGGCATGGTGGTGCATGACTGTAGTCCCAGCTACTCAGGAGGCTGAGGCAGGAGAGTCACTTGAACTCGGGAGGCAGAGGTTGCAGTGAGCCAAGATCGCACCATTGCACTCCAGCTTGGGCAACAAGAGCGAAACTCTGTCAAAAAATATATCTATATATATTTTTTTCCAGCCAGAGCTAAGTCTTTGCCCCATAGACACTGAAAAACTTCAGAATGGTTTCCAGCATTGGGCCCAGTGGGTCTGTCGGCTGTCTCCCTGCTGCACCTGTTTACAACTAACTTGAATTATTATAATTAAAGAGCTTATCATGATTCCTAAACCCAAAACTGTAGAGCATTGTTCATTCATCACATTATAGAGATAAAGAGATTTGTTTTGAAAATAGAGGTCTACCTAAACCCCAAGTCCTTAAGTCAGAAACAAAATTACAGCTTGATGGTGGTGAAATAGGAGCTCAGAAAGAACTGGAGAAATTGAATCATTAAGGCCTAAATTTTCTAACTGCCTATGTTAACGAAGGCAATCTTAAATTAGAAGCATTTTTCTTCCAAGTAAAGTCTCTCCTCTACACAATTAAGGGGTTAGACTAGAGAAATAATTCCTAACCAGAACACTTTGTCAGATTACCTAGGAAACTCTTCCAAACACACATACCCACCCGCACTCCAGACCTGCTAATTCAGAAGGTGTCATGTGTATTTTGAAAATGTTGGCCAGGCGCGGTGGCTCACGCCTGTAATCCCAGCACTTTGGGAGGCCAAGGTGGGTGGATCACGAGGTCAGGAGATTGAGACCATCCTGGCTAACACAGTGAAACCCCGTCTCTACTAAAAATACAAAAAAAATTCCCCAGGCATGGTGGCGGGCGCCTGTAATCCCAGCTACTTGGGAGGCTGAGGCAGAAGAATGGCTTGAACCCGGGAGGTGGAGGTTGCAGCGAGCCAAGATCACACCACTGCACTCCAGCCTGGACGACAGAGCAAGACTCTGTCTCAAAAAAGAAAAGAAAAGAAAACAAAATGTTCCACAAAAAGATTCTGATACACATCTTTAGTTTGTAAATTCTAAATCTCTGAAGTTCCCTCCAGCTCTAAGTGTCTATATTAATAAATGGAGCCAATGAGAAAAGAGCACTATAGAGTTAAATCAATAAGGCTCTGTAAGCAATAATAATGTATTGATTACATAGTGGCACTGTAGTGAAAGAAGAACCACAGTGGTTGCCATCTTCTGGTACAACTGTTGAGAAGGCTTTAATGTTGGATCTGCATGGTATTTCACAGATTTCATGTTTAGAAACGGGGATGGGCTTTGGCAGAGAGTTTTCACTGACACCTCTACAAGGCCTCTTTGGAAACTTAATGTTTCTGTTGTGTCTTTGACTCTTAACCACACCCTAAGAATGAAGATCACCCAGCTCACTTAATGTCTGTTGCCTAAAACTGAACACCCCTGTCTACCAACAGTCCTAAGTCTGCTCAAAGTTCCACAATTTCCTTCTTTTTTTTTTTTTTTTTGTGACAGAGTCTCACTCTGTCACCCAGGCTGGAGTACAGTGGTGTGATCTCGGCTCACTGCAACCTCCGCCTCCCAGGTTCAAGCTATTCTCCCGCCTCAGCCTCCCAAGTAGTTGGGATTACAGGCACCCACCACCACACCCGGCTAATTTTTGTATTTTTAGTAGAGACAGGGTTTTGTCATGTTGGCCAGGCTGGTGTCAAACTCCTGACCTCAGGTGATCCGCCCACCTCAGCCTCCCAAAGTGCTGGGATTACAAGTGTGAGCCACAACACCCGGCCAATTTCCATCCTTCAATCAGTGATTTTACAAATTCTGACTCTGGCATGCATCAAGTACAAAATCATATTTATTAATTTAGTTTACTCCTCTCTTTGCAGTTTCTATTTTTACTTATGTTTCAAAAAGTTTTAGTTATGTGCATCTTGAGTAATTTTGATAAATGTATATTTTATCTTTCTGAACTGTAATATCTTGATATTAAACAACTTAATTATCCAGTAAGTTCATTGCTTTGTACTTACTAAACACTTGAGTTGAATAATAGTAATTTAACAGTTCAACCAAATTAAAACTATAATGATTAGATAATTTGCTCATGGTTATTCAGCAAGCCAGAAATTACACAATAATAAGCCAAGAATAAAATATAAAACCTAGATCTAAATTTAATAATAAGTACACAGTATCTATCTTTTGAATGCATGATTTCAGTAGGACAGAAAAAAGAAATCTTAAATAAATGGTAAGATATACACACATTCATAGATGAGAGAATTCAATATTTTATTTATTTATTTATTTATTTGCTTGTTTACTTTTTGAGATAGGGTCTTGCTCTGTCACCCAGGCTGGAGTGCAGTGGCACAATCATGGCTCACTGCAGCTTCAACCTCCCAGGCCTGAGTGATCCTCCCACCTCAGCCTCCTGAGTAGCTGGGATCACAGGCATGCTCCACCATGACTAGCTAATTTTTTAATTTTTAATTTTTTAATTAGCCAGGAGTCTTGAACTCCAGGGTTCAAGTGATCCTCCCACATTGACCTCCCAAAATGCTGGGATTACAGGACTAAACCTGGCCTCACTATTTTAAATACGTAAATTCTCTCCAAATAACTGTATAGATTCAGTGTAATTCCAATAAAAATTCAAATAGGATTTTGTGGGGAAAGGTCACAAAATGAATTTAAGGACTTCTAGGCAATAAGGCATGCTGAGCTAATTTGGGAAGCCCACCCCATCCCACACCCTTCTATGTTAACACACATAAGCTCTGAATAAAATGTAACAATTTTTTTGAGACAGAGTTTTGTGCCGTCCAGGCTGAAGTGCAGTGGTGCGATCTCGGCTCACTGCAACCCCCACCTCCTGGGTTCAAGTGATTCTTGTGCCTCAGCCTCCCAAATAGCTGGAATTATAGGTGTGTGCCACCACACCTGGATAATTTTTTTTGTATTTTTAGTAAAGATGGGATTTTGCCATGTTGGCCAGGCCTCTCGAACTCCTGGCCTCAAGTGATCTGCCTGCCTCAGACTCCCAAAACCCAAAGTGCTGGGATTACAGGCATGGGCTACTATGCCTGGCTGAATGTAACAAATTTTTTTTTTTTTTTTGAGACGGTGTCTTGCTCTGTGCCCCAGGCTGGAGTACAATGGCGCGATCTCGGCTCAACACAACCTCCGCCTCCCAGGTTCAAGCAATTCTTCTGGCTCAGCCTCCCGAGTAGCTGGGATTACAGGCGCATGCCACCATGCCCAGCTAATTTTTGTATTTTTAGTAGAGGCGGGGTTTCACCATGTTGGCCAGGCTGGTCTCGAACTCCTGACCTCAGGTGATCCGCCGGCCTCAGCCTCCCAAAGTGCTGGGATTACAGGCATGAGCCACCGCGCCTGGCCAACAAAATATTTTTAAACGCATAGCTGGGCAGAAAGCTAGAAAGGGCAATCCCTCAGAAACAGAAAAGAAACTCAAAACCCACAATGTTGAGTAGGAATTGAAGACCTAGTACAAATATGACAATAGGATACCCACTTTCCAGTGTGGCATTTATCTACCACATGGAGCTGAAATTAAACACCTTATATAAATAATAGACTGGGCATGGTGGCTGGCACCTGTAATCTCAGCACTTTGGGAGGATGAGACAGGAGGATCTCTTGAGGCCAAGAATTTGAGACCAGCCTGGGCAACACAGCAAGACCCCCACGTCTAAAAAAATGTAAATTATAAAGAATATATATACATGTATACATATATATATATAATGTGTGTGTGTCTATGTATATGTGTGTATATATACATATACATATATTTTATTTTTTTCTTATTTTAATATATAAAGTCAGAAGGGAGGAACGAATAAAAAAAAGAATACCACCTTCCTCTCAAGAGGGAAGCAGTACAAAAGCTTGCCACTTGCTGTGGACTATGCATGGAAAAAGAATCACTCACGAGAAATTAGAGATTTAAGCCTGTTCAAGGTAGATGAAAGGAATTCAAGTGCACCTTAACTACACAGGATTGGAAACCAGGTCCAAAACTAAGAAAATACGCAGGACTTGACAAATGAAATATAAAACTGCTTCACAGGAACACCACTGCACCACAGAACATGTGGAACCTGTTGATGAAGTTAGAGTCAAAAATGATAAGGCTCATGAGCCAATGAACCACCCTGAGAAAGAGGGAATTAGCAATAAGACAGAAGTTGGGTGCAGTGGCTCATGCCTGTAATTCCAGTACTTTGAGGGGCTGAGGCAAAAGGATCGCTTATGGCCAGGAGTTCAAGACAAGCATAGGCAATATAATGAGACTTCATCTCTACAAAAAAAAAAAAAAAAAAAAATTAAAAATCAGCCCAGCATGGTGGCACACATCTGTAGTCCCAGCTATACTGAGAGCTGGGTGAGAGGATTGATGTGGGAGGATTGCTTGAGACTGGGAGGTTGAGGCTGCAGTGAGCCATGATCACATCACTACACTCCAGCCTGGGTGACAGAGGAAGAGTCTGTCTCAAAAAAAAAAAAAAAAAAAAAAGAGTTAGGCCAGTCATGGTGGCTCATACCTGTAATCCCAGCATTTTGGGAGATCAAGGATCACCTGAAGTCAGGAGTTTGAGAGCAGCCTGATCAACATGGTGAAACCCCATCTCTACTAAAAATACTAAATTAGCCGGGCATGGTGGTGCATGCCTGTAATCCTAGCTACTTGGAAGACTGAGGCAGGAGATTTGCTTGAACCGAGAGGCAGATGTTGCAGTGAGCCGAGATCGCGCCTCTGCACTCCAGCCTGGACAAAATGAGCGAAACTCCATCTCAAACAAACAAACAAACAAAAAACAGGAGAGATGAAACAAAAAAGATAATTGACTCCATTGAAAGTACAAAGGATAAAGCACTAAGAATGTTAATGTTAATGGTTTTAAAATGTTTGAAAAGATAATGGATGGAATAGAATACGTAAGTCAAGAAAAGGACATTATGAAATAAAAGGAGATTCAAAAAGAACCAATAGAGATCTATTAAAAATATAATTAATGGAAAAATAAAAAACTAAAGTAGGCCATTATAACGGATTGTATTGTTATTCAAAAATACTCCTTGCTTCTTCCCCTGGGGAGGAATCTAGTTCTGCATCTCATTGATGTTGGGCTGGACCACTGACTTGTTTTGACCAATGGCCTAAATGACAATGCAGCCAGTCGTAAGCAGAGGATTTAGGAAGCATTTCAAGGCTCAGTCAGCCCTACTGCCCACCATGAGAACCTCACATCCCAGAGAGGAGCTGCTCTCTTCCTTCAGCCTGGGTCTCAGAGTGAGAAGGTACACAAGGTCTACTTTACATGACCTTGGAGCAGAGACACTGCTCTCCACCTGCAGCCACTGACGTGCAATGTGAGCAAGAAATCGGGATCGGCTATTAAGTCACTGCCGGGGTTCGTTACACTGAATTATCAAAGCAGAGACTGATCAGTACAGCCAGCTGAAGAGAGAATTTGTGAAATTAAAGATAAAGCTGAAGAAAGCCCAGGGCACAATACAGAGGGAGAAAAATTTAATGGGAAATATATGAAGTTAAGGAGCACAAAAACAGAATTTCTAGTAACACTTATAATAAATCTAAGAGTGTAGACTAGAGAAAATAGGGGGTGTATTCATTTTCTGTATCCATGAAACAACTTAGGACAAGTTGTTTCATGGCTACAGAATTCTAGAGCAGGACTTAGTGGCTGCTCTAGAGTCCCGGTCTCATGGCTCTCACAAAATGGCTTGCTTCTGCAAAGCCAGTGGGAGAGCTGCTTTCCAGTGAGCTTTGACAGAGTCTTATGCGATGTAATGTAATCATGGGAGTCACGCCATCCCATGTCTTCACACCCATCATCTTCACAAGTCACACTCACACTCAAGGAGACCCTTCCTTTACAGGGTGTAGATACCAGCAGGTAGGAATCCTGGGCCACACCTTGGCATTTTACCTACCACGGGGAAAAAGCAATAATAGAAAATGGACTATGCCTGGCCACGCGCGGTGGCTCACGCCCGTAATCCCACCACTTTGAGAGGCCGAGGCGGGCGGATCACAAGGTCAGGAGATTGAGACCATCCTGGCTAACACTGTAAAACCCGTGTCTACTAAAAATACAAAAAAAAATAAATAAATAAATAAATAAAAATTAGCCAGGCGTGGTGGCAGGCACCTGTAGTCCCAGCTACCGGGAGGCTGAGGTAGGAGAATGGCATGAACCCGGGAGGCGGAGCTTGCAGTAAGCCAAGATCGTGCCACTGCACTCCAGCCTGGGTGACAGAGCGAGACTCCGTCTCAAACAAAAAAATAAAAAAGAAAGAGAAAGAAAATGGACTATGCCTGAGGCATATTCTAGCACTCATGCTCTTACGACTATACTAAAGGATAGCAGGCATTCAGCAGCACACCAGGGCAACACGGCATTGCCCTTAGAATTCTACAGGCACAGGAAGGTTTTACACTGGAACCACAGAAGGCTGAGTCATGCCTTCGTGCCCAGTCGTCATCTTTCTTCCATCTTTCCAGGCCAATCTAATAGCCTACCTCTGGGTCCAAAGTTCCACTTCTATGAAATAAATTGCATGTGTTCCCCACCATTGTAAACATTTTATGTGCAACTCACACGTGTTTTTCAAGTTGTCTTTTCAACTTTTAGGAACACATTAATAGAAATGTTATTTAGATTGTCCCTTTTCACTCCTTTGCCATTAAAAGACTTCGATTGAGTAATAATGTTGCAAATTCTGGGAAGATAATCTAAAAGCTAATTTAAAGCCCTTTTAAAATTCCTAAAAGCTGAAAAGAGAAAGCCATTAGCATTCTTGTTTATTCTACATTTTATTGGCTAATGGGCATCATCTTTATTGTTTTACAGGAACACACACATTTGTTTTGTTTTGTTTTAATTGATCAGTAGCAGAATACAAATGGTGAACAATAAATCTTAGCTGTTTATTGCTTCTGTGATTCTCTGGAACAGAAGGAGAAGAATGTCTTATGTGCTTATTACACCCAGGCAATATCTCAGATCATTTCCCCAGCTGTAGAACAGATTGTAAACCTCATTTTAAAATTACCTAATGTAGGCCAGGCACAGTGGCTCACACCTGTAATCCCAGCACATTGGGAGGCCGAGGCAGGCAGATCCTTTGAGCCTGGGAGTTCAAGACCAGCCTGGGCAACATAGGGAGACCTCATCTCTACTAAAAATTTAAAAATTAGCTGGGCATGGTTGTGTGCATCTGTAGCTCCAGCTACTTGGGAGGCTGAAGTGGGAGGATTGCTTGAGCCTGGAAGACAGAGGTTGCAGTGAGCCAAGATCATGCCACTGCACTCCAGCCGGGGTGACAGAGTGAGACCCTGTCTCACAAATAAATAATTTATTAAATAATTTTTAAAAATAAAATGACCTAATGTAGGCCAGGCATGGTGGCTCATGCTCATAATCCCAGCATTAAAGGCATGAGGATTGCTTAACCCTAGGAGTTCAAGACCAGTCTAGGCAACATAGGGAGACCCCTATCTCTACAAAAAATTAAAAAATTAGCCAGGCATGGTGGCACATGCCTGTAGTCCCAGCTACACAGGAGGCTGAGACAGGAAGATCGCTTGAGCCCAGGAATTCAAGGCTGCAGTGAACCATGATAGCACCACTTCAGTCCATCCTGGGCAACAGAGCCCCATCTCAAAAAATAAATAAATAAATAAATAAGTAAATAGGCCAGGCACGGTGGCTCATGCCTGTAATCCCAGCACTTTGGGAGGGGCCAAGGCGGGCGGATCACGAGGTCAGGAGTTCCAGACCAGCCTGGCCAATATGGTGAAACTCCATCTCTACTGAAAATACAAAAATTGGCCAGGTATGGTGGCACGTGCCTGTAGTCCCAACTACTTGGGAGGCTGAGGCAGATGAATCGCTTAAACCCGTGAGGTGGAGGCTGCAGTAAGCCAAGATCGTGCCATTGCACTCCAGCCTGGGCAACAAGAGTGAAACTCCATCTCAAAAAAAAAAAAAAAAAAAAGTAAATAAATAAAATTACCTAATATATACGTAAACTGATTTAAATGCTCCTAGCATCATTTTAAGAAATAAAAAGTTATTGTGACATTTCTGTGAATACGTTTAATTCATAAAATAGCCATCTCTGCCCTTCTCTTCTATCCTTTTGCTAATCATATATCACTGAAAATCTATAGATGGTTTTACATGACTATTATACCGAAGGGGTCTGTTTTCTCCACTGTCTCTTTGTGATGATTAATATTATGTGTCAACTTGACTATGGGATACCCAGATAGTTGGTCAAACATCATTTCTGGATATATCTGTGAGGGTGTTTGTGCAAGAGATTATCATCTGAGGCCGGGTGCGATGGCTCACGCCTGTAATCCCAGCACTTTGGGAGGCCATGGTGGGCGGATCATTTGAGGTCAGGAGTTTGAAAGCAGCCTGGCCAACATGGTGAAACTCCATCTTTACTAAAAATACAAAAATTAGCTAGGTGTGGTGACAGGTGCCTAATCCCAGCTACTTGGGAGGCTAAGGCAGAAGAATCGCTTGAACCCAGGAGGCAGAGGTTGCAGTGAGCCGAGATCATGCCACTGCACTCCAGCCTGGGTGATGGAGCAAGACTCTGTCAAAAAAAAAAAAAAAAAGAGAGAGAGAGAGATTAACATCTGAAGTTTGAGTAAATCTGAGTAAAGAAGATCCGGGCAGGGTGCAGTGGCTCACGTCTGTAATCCCAACCCTTTGGGAAGCTGAGGTGGGCAGATTCCCTGAGCCCAGGAGTTAAAGGCTGAAGTAGTCCACCCACCTGGGCCTCCCGAAGTGCTGGGATTACAGGCGTGAGCCACTGCAGCCAGCTTGCCATGACTTTTCTAATTATTCTTAAATGATGAAAACACTTCAAGTCACCCCAAGTCCAGAAAATCAGTCACAGTTTTGTAATCGATGTGTCCAATCTAATATAGCACTCCAACTCTTCCAACTTGATGTGAAGTTAAACCTCTCCTCCTCCTTCAGCTGTGGCCTGCTGAATGAACGAACGCCAGCCACTTGTACTGGGGAAGGTAGACATGGGAAGATTGTATTCTCCTTAGCTAGATTGCTAATTTAGGCAACCCCAGTTTCTGATACTAATCCCTCATTCTGGGGAAGCGGTAGGGAGAGGAAGAGGCAGAAGGAAAGTTCTTCCTTGATTAAGACAATTGCAATGACCTAAGGCTGGTGATCTACAGGCTTGGTGGGCATTTAAAGCTTACTTCGGGCTGGGCGCGGTGGCTCACGCCTGTAATCCCAGCACTTTGGGAGGCCGAGGCGGGTGGATCACAAGGTCAGGAGTTCAAGACCAGCCTGGCCAAGATGGTGAAACCCTGTCTCTACTAAAAATACAAAAAAATTAGCCGGGCGTGGTGGTGGGCGCCTGTAATCCCAGCCACTCAGGAGGCTGAGGCAGAGAATTGCTTGAACCCGGCAGGCGGAGGTTGCAGTGAGCAGAGATTGTGCCACTACACTCCAGCCTGGGCGACAAAGCGAGACTCATCTCAAAAAATAAATAAATAAATAAATAAATAAAGCTTACTTCTTCTCTTGAGCCCAGGTGGGATGGTAGTGGTGGAGATGGGAAGTTGGGAAGTAGAGACGCTCCCAGCCCACTCTCATCACTGGAGATATTTCACCTGCAGATTGCTTTCTGCAGATGGTTACTTATGGCTGTTTCTTGCTGGGGTCCAAAAGGCATGCTTACACATGATTTGAGATGACCCCAGGCCCCGTCAGTGACCTGTGTGGTCTACCTTTGGTCTCTGGGAAACAACTCTGTGCTCTATCAAACTATAAGACAATGTGCTACATCTCTTTTGCTCCACCATCAGAGGAGCCAGCCAGCAGGTCTCTTGTTCTTTAGATTTCTCAGGCATGCATACTGGTCCACTATGCCTTTCAATCTGTGGGGGGATGCACATTAAGTACTCCAAATGGTCTGCATAAAACTCCTATCTCTAGATGTAGGTTGAAGGGGCAAGGACCTTACACCCCTCTCCCATGGTGGCCAGGAGGGAGGGACTCAAGCCCATCATCAACTCTCTAAAAATCATCTTCTAATCTTTATCTTCTTGGCCTCTCCTACCTGTTTCATTGGCTGGATGTGGTCAGTGAGCTAACCTGGTTGGAGGACAATGCTGACCTGTTCTCCTGTGCTTCCTTTTCCACCTGCTTTGTATTCTTACCTGACTTTGGAAGGCGGCTTCTATTGTCTTAGGCCACAGCTAACACGGAAACTAAAACAGTTCCATTTTAACATCCTCTATTTACAAGTGTACTCATATTTCTATCAACTAGTTCATTTTCATTTGTTTTCAGAAAACAAAAATGAAAACAAAAACAAACAAACAAACACATTCTGTTGGCTCACAAACTCTAGGAAGCAGGGTTTGAACTCCCAATAGTTAAATAACCCCAGAAATGAAGGCTTAAGGGCCAACTATGAAAAGGAGTCATGACAATGGGTGTTGAGGTAGAATGGAAGCTTAGTTAGGAGGATACAGGAGCAGGATTCAAAGGCAGAGTCAGAGTTCCTGACCTACACACCCTAAGGCACATTGGACTGAAGTTACAGGTTTTCATTCTCCCAGCCCTGCTCCTCCTTTTCTATGACTGCACCGTGTACCATAAACCCAAACCAGGTCTCTAGGATTTATTTTTAGATTCCTCCCTCTATCTCTCACCTGCCGTATTCAATCAGTCACCAAGTCCCATTAACACTATTTATATCCCATCTATCCCATCTAGCCCCTCCTCCCAATCCCCTCTGCCACAACTTTCATTTAGGTTCTCACTAACTTTGACCTGTGTTTTTTTTTTTCTTTTGAGACGGAGTCTCACTTTGTCACCCAGGCTGGTGTGCAGTGGTGCGATCTCAGCTCACCGCAACCTCCACCTCCCGGGTTCAGGCCATTCTCCTGTCTCAGCCTCCCGTGTAACTGGGACTACAGGTGCCCGCCACCACGCCCAGCTAATTTTTGTATTTTCAGTAGAGACGGGGTTTCATCATATTGGTCAGGCTGGTCTCGAACTCCTGACCAAACACCCTCACAGCCTCCCAAAGTGCTGGGATTACAGGCATGAGCCACCGTGCCCAGCTGACCTGTGCTTTTTTTTAAGATAGGTGAGTAGACTATGCTTATTTGCTAATGGAAAAGAGTCAATAGAGAAGAAGACGTTGAAAGTATTTGAGAGAAGAAAACTGATTAAGCCAAATCCCTAAACAAGGAGAGATGGAACCTTCAACCAGCGGGGAAAAGACACTCTTAAGCAGGAAAAGAAAATCTTCACTGAGATACTAACTTTCTCACAAAGTTAGGTTATTCAATTTTTAAATGTTAGTATTTTCTGTCTTTTCTGAAATAATATTAGGTAGTAATTTTATTTATTTATTTATTCATTCATTTTGGGACAGGGTCTCACTCTGTTGCCCAGGCAGCAGTGTAGTGGCACAATCATGGCTCATTGCAGCCTCAACCTCCTGGGCTCAAGCGATCCTCCTACCTCAGCCTCCCAAGTAGCTGGGACTACAGGTGCATGCCGCCACACCTGGTTAATTTTTGTATCTTTTGTAGAGACAGGTTTTCACTATGTTGCCCAGCCTGGTCTCAAACTCCTGGGCTCAAGCTATCAGCCTGCCTCAGCCTCTGAAAGTGCTAGGATTACAGGTGTGAGCCACTATGCCCAGCCTAGATAGTAGTATTTTTAATATCCTTACTTGAAAAAATTTAAATATGGCAAACTTTTAGTCCTTAAATTTTTTTTTTTTTTTTTTTTGAGACAGAGTCGCGCTCTGTCGCCCAGGCTGGAGTGCAGTGGCGCAATCTCGGCTCATTGCAAGCTCCGCCTCCCGGGTTCACGCCATTCTCCTGCCTCAGCCTCCCGAGTAGCTGGGACTACAGGCGCCTGCCACCATGCCCGGCTAATTTTTTTGTATTTTTAGTAGACACGGGGTTTCACTGTGTTAGCCAGGATGGTCTCGATCTCCTGACCTAGTGATCCGCCCGCCTCGGCCTCCCAAAGTGCTGGGATTACAGGCATAAGCCACTGCGCCCAGCCTAGTCCTTAAATTTTTAAAAAATTTTGCTATTCCTTCAAATCTAAATCCAGTTTCCCAATCTTAAGTATCTGTCTAGCTACTGACCCACCTCTCTCCTTTCTCTATGCTTTCCCTTTCTCCTAAGGGAGAAACATTTTTTTTTTTTTTATTGGCTGTTTACACTTTCCTTGCTTCCTTAACCTCATTAATCAATCCAACTACAGTCTTCCTTCTACCTGCATATCTCTACTGAAACTGCCTGTGGCTGAGCTCACACTAAGTTCCTAATTGCCAAAGCTACCGGAAATTTCTTTGTCATAATACATGACACTAATGACTATTCTTTTCATCTTAAATGTCTATAGTCCCTTTAACTCCCCGACTTCACTCTCTTCTAGTCTTCCTCCTACCCTCTGGCTACTCCTTCTCAGCCTCCTGTTGACTTCTCCTCTATGTCCTCAGGGTTCCATTGTTGAAGGTCTCTCCGCTTCACACTCCTGGGCTAACTCAGGGCATGGCTATTATCATCAGTCTGGGTTCTGACAATTCCTATATAATTATCTCCCACAATATTTACAACTCTATGAGGTAGATGTTACCTTTTCCCAGAGTTCAAACGCTGGTTTCCAGGCGAAGGAAATGAGGTTAAGAAAACTTAAGTAATCCGCAAGAAGTTCCATCATTAGGGAAGTATTCAGTCCACAACCTTCTGAATTCAGAGGTTATGATTATTTGACTCTAAAGCAATTGTTTTAAGGATAAAATAAGATAATGTATAAACATTTGCAGACTGAAACAAAAGGCTTATATGTTAATGAAATTCAGACATTTTATAGCAAAGAAAATTTTGTAAAGTCCAAATTCCCTTCTCTAATATCGTCTGTGTCTTGCTCTCTCCCTTCTCCCTGAAGTGGTAAAGCAAATCAGAATGCATTTCTTTTTTTTTTGGAACAGAGTCTTACTCTATCACCCAGGTTGGAGTGCACTGGTGCGATCTGGGCTCACCAGAACAAAATTACAGCTAGGAAAGAGGACTAAGTTCTAGTGTTCTATACCACTGTAGGATGACTCTAGTTAATAATAATACATAGTTTCAAACAGCTAGAAGGAAGATATTGAATGTATATAGTTTCAAATAGCTAGAAGGAAGATACTGAATGTTCCCGACATGAAGAAATGATAAATGTTTGAGATGATGGATATGCTAATTACTGTGATCTGATCACTATACATTATATGTATCACAACGTCACTATGTACTGCATGAATATGTACAATTATTTGTCGATTTTACAGTTTTTAAATAATAAAGCCAGAAGCAAGAAATAACCTAATACAAAAAGAAAATATATGACTTCAGCATTTATTAATAATGATAATAATTGATTTAAATAATCCTAGATTGTATCAACAAAAAACTAGGAAACGTGGGAGTTGGAGAGAGAGGTAGTAAATGTGCCAACTTTCCCATCTTGCAGAAATAAAGTTAATAAATACCGTTTTCTCCTGGCATTGATTAGGGAAAACATGCATATACATGTGCATATATATATATATATATATATATATATATACACACGCACACAAACAAAAACATTAGCATATACATATATACATACACACAAACAAAAACCCGAAAGGCAGCAGTAGTGGATATTTAAAATATGAGAACTACCTTCCAAACTATCACAGGGAAAGTGAGCAAACATAATAGTATTATCCAGATAACAAAAGAAACACTCTCAATAGCATGGGCAATTCTTATGATATATTGTTAAATTCTTTTAAAGTAGGTCAAAAAGCAAAATGCATAGAAAAAAGTGTCAATTCTGTAACAACAAAATTAGTACACATATATACTCACACACATTATTGTAGTAAATAACTATGAAAGTCATACCAAATTGTTAAATGTGGTTATCTCTGGATGGTAGATTTGGAGGTAGTTTTGATATTCATCTTTAAAGTCCTCTGTATTTTCCCAACCAAAAATGTAAAATAAGGCAATTGCCTGAAATGCTCCTTAACCTTTTTCATAAGCCTATTTATTTATTAGGGACAGGATCTTCCTCTATCGCCCAGGTTGGAGTGTAGTGGCATGACCATAGCTCACTGCAGCCTCAACTTCCCTGGCTCAAGCAATCTTCCTGCCTCAGCCTCCCGAGTAGCTGGGACTACAGGCGTGCACCACCACACCTAATTATTTATTTACTTATTATTTATTTATTTATTTTTGAGACATGTTGCCCAAGTGAGTCTGTTGCCCAAGGTGGAGTGCAGTGGCGCGATCTCAGCTCACTGCAACTTCTGCCTCCCAGGTTCAAGTGATTCTCGTGCCTCAGACTCCTGAGTAGCTGGGAGTACAGGCATGCGCCATCACACCCAGCTTATTTTTTTTTTTTTTTTTTTTGTATTTTTAGTAGAGATAGAGTCTCACTCTATTGGCCAGGCTGTTCTCAAACTCCTGGCCTCAAGTGATCTGCCCACCTCTGCCTCCCAAAGTGCTGGAATTACAGGCATAAGTCACCACACCCGCTCATCAATTTTTTAAAAATTTTGTAGATACAAGGTCTCACTATGTTGCCCAAGCCAGTCTCGAACTCCTGAGCTCAAGGGATCCTCCTCCCACCTCGGCCTCCCATAATACTGAGATTACAGCTGTGAGACACTGTGCCTGGCCCATAAGCCTATTTATAAATTTAAATTGATATAAAAACAATTTTAAATGTAATACTCTCCAAATACTCTTACCTCTTTCTGCTCACATGGTTTCCCAGAAAATATTTAAATGATGATAAAGTATGCTAATGGAGAATATGACTTTTTTTTTTTTTTCCTGAGACAGAGTCTTACACTGTCGCCCAGGCTGGAGGGCAGTGGCACGATCTCAGCTCACTGCAACCTCCACCTCCCAGGTTGAAGTGATTCTCCTGCCTCAGCCTCCCGAGTAGCTGAGATTACAGGTGTGTGCCACCATGCCTGGCTAATTTTTGTATTTTTAATAGAGGAGGGTTTCACTATGTTGGCCAGCCTGGTCTTGAACTCCTGACCTCATGATCCACCCACCTTGGCCTCCCAAAGTGCTGGGATTACAGGTATGAGCCACTATGCCTGGCTGAGAGTATGACTTTAGAAGAAAACAAATCATGACTAATTAAATATTATGGGGGAAAGTATTGTTAAAAGCAGTTGCTTGACTTTTTTTCCGTGTGTGTGTGTGTGTGTGTGTGTATGTGTGTGTGTGTGTGTGTGTGAAAAGCAAGGTCTTGCTATGTTGCCCAGGCTGGTCTCAAACTCCATGCCTCAAGCGATCCTCCCGCCTCTGCCTCCCTAAGTGGCGGGATTACAGGTGTGAGCCACCATACCTGGCTAGCTTGAAAATTTAAAGCAAGATTTCATGAGGCATTAATTACGCACTCTCCAAAAAAGGGGACAAAGGTGGGAAGGGGCACACATTCTGTCAACGTTCCCAAGCTGCAGACCAGGAAGCTGACCCCTGCCAAGAGAATGGCTGAGGGCCAGTTGCTTTCTGTACTAGGCCCAAAGTAGAGCCTTTCAAAGTGTTTACAAAGGTTTTCTATGAACCTCCTAATTCAGAGAATAGCCTTTGCCTTTCGGGATATGGAAACAAATGCATTGGAAGAATGGTAGTGAAAGAGAAAGAGAGCCCTCTCCAGATGCAAGGCTTTCTCCTAGGGTAGAAGTGTTAAGATTCCATTGTAATGAGGCAATTGTTCACCTCTTCATGTAAGAAATAACATAGGCCATAATAAATAACAAAGCATAATAAATAACAAAGGCCAAAAGAAGCAGATTAAAATGTATAAATTCTGGCCAAGCCTGTAATCCCAGCACTCTGGGAGGCCAAGGCGGGCTGATCACCTGAGGTCAGGAGTTCAAGACCAGCCTGGACAACATGGTAAAACCCTGACTCTACTAAAAACACAAAAAAATTAGCCAGGCATGGCACCTGTAATCCTGGCTACTTGGGAGTCTGAGGCAGGAGAATCGCTTGAACCTGGGAGGCAGAGGTTGCAGTGAGCCGAGACTGTACCATTGCACTCCAGCCTGGGCAATAAGAATGAAACTCCATCTAAAAAAAAAAAAAAAAAAAAAAAAAAAAAAATATATATATATATATATATATATATATATATATAAAAATTCATGGAACTGAAGGTAAAATTTGTACTACTGCTAAATTGTTAGATTTGTCTCAGATTAATAAATATTTTGTATAGAACAATGACTCTTGAACCCTACCAGACTAATGTTCATTTTTAAAACAAATATTTTGTGAGCTACCCCTTTTATATCTTGAAGTGAAATAGAAAATATAGCCAAATACATACATACTTTAAAAACAAAACAATTCAACCTCCTGATTATAACATAAAGGAGACATAAAGTAAATTCTAATAAAGTAGTATACATTTTAATTTACATAAAGTAAATTCTAATAAAGTAGTACACATTTTAATTTATAACTGCTCTGGCAGGATGATGACACTAAAAGACAGAACTCCTAAAAAGCCTCGAATAAAAAGTTATCGTGCAGTAAAGAATCACCTGCAAAGTGCAGTGGCTCATGTCTATAATTCCAGCACTTTGGGAGGCCAAGGTGGGCGGATCACTTGAGGTCAGGAGTTTGAGACCACCCTGGCCAATATGGCAAAACCCCATCTCTACTAAAAATACAAAAATTAGCCGGGTGTGGTGGTATGAGCCTGTAGTCCCAACTACTCCAGAGGCTGAGGCAGGAGAATGGCTTGAACCTGGGAGGTAGAGGTTGCTGTGAGCTGAGATCACACCACTGCACTACAGCTGGGTGACAGAGCAAGACTCTGTTTAAAAAAAAAAAAAAAAAATGCAATGGAGAGTGTGCAAATTTATCATATTATAGATGTCTTGTAAATCACCAAAAGTTTATGAAATTATTTTTTTAAATGTATGTTTAAAGACATCTTGATTATTAAGGATTCATTCTGCTTTGGAACACATTTTTTATTTTTTAACCATTCAACATTTATTATGTCCTACTATGTGCTATCCCTGGGGATACAGAGATGAAAAAAAAAAAAAACCATGCTTCCTACTCTCAAGGAGCTCACAGTCTAATGAGGGAGACTGACAAATAATTAGACAATGACAATACAGTGCACTAAGTGCTGTGATTGAGGGAAATTTTGAGGTAACACCTGAATTATCTTGAAGTTCATGTATGAGATATAAAAACACACCTTTTTGCTATTATTTTCTAGGCTTGTGTATATGCATGTAAATTCATAGTAAAACATCTGGAAGGATCACACCAAACTAAACATTTCTATTCCACAAGTATTTCCTAAATGTGTCAAGTGCTTTTCTAGGCATTTGGGATATATCACCAAACATAACAGACCAAGATCTCTGCCCTAGTTGCAAAGTCTTTTCAGAATTAGGAAATAGCTCAGATATCTTTTTTTTTTTTTTTTTTTTTTAGAAGGAGTCTTGCTTTGTTGCCCAGGCTGGAGTGCAGTGGTACGATCTTGGCTCGCGGCAACCTCAGCCTCCCAGGTTCAAGCGATTCTCCTGCCTCAGCCTCCTGAGTAGCGGGGACTACAGGCACGTGCCACCACACCCGACTAATTTTTGTATTTTTAGTAGAGACTGGGTTTCACCATGTTAGCCAGGATGATCAGGAGATCTCGTGATCCACCCACCTTGACCTCCCAAAGTGCTGGGATTATAGGCGTGAGCCACCACGCCTGGCCAGATATCTTAAAATGAGTATATAATCATCTATAGACTCACTCCACAGCTTGTATCTATTAGGGAAGCAATGTGGAATGTTAGAAGGGTATGCAACCTTGATCAAGATGCTCCCTTCTCTGAATCACAGATCTGTATAAAGGGAATAATAATGGCTACTTCTTAGGTCCGTAAAGATATTTTCTTAATGTAGGTAAAGTACCTCAATAAATGGTAGTAAATTGTGGTACTAGCAAGAATATCTCTCTAAATGTTCTCTCAAGATTGAATTCAATCCTTTCAGTGCCTATATATGAGGACAAATTATTTTACAACTAGTGAGAGTAGATCTTCAAGACAGATGATCTTGAAAGACAAAAGCATCAAGAAGTAGGACTTCCAGGCCAGGTGTGGTGGGTTGTGCCTGTAATCCCAGCACTTCAGGAGGCCAAGGCCGGAGGAATGCCTGAGCCCAGGAGTTCGAGGCTGCAGTGAACTATGATTGTGCCACTGCACTCCAGTCTGGGTAACAGAGCAAGACACTGTCTCTTAAATAAAAAGAAGAAGAAAGAAGAAGAAGAAAGGAGGAAGGAGGAAGAGGAAGAAGAGGAAGAGGAGGAGGAAGAGGAGGGAGAGGACGAAGACAAGGAAGATGAAGAAAAGTAGGAAGAAGAAGAACGAAGAAGAAGGAGAAAGAAGAAGAAAAGAAGAAGAAGAACAACAACAAAAAACTAGTACTACTACTGCCAGGAGAAGCTTTAATTAATAAGATTTTGAGGCTGGACACAGTGGCTCACACCTATCATCCCAGCACTTTGGGAGGCCAAGGCAGGTGAATTGCTTGAGCTCAGGGCTTTGAGACCAGCCTGGGAGCCTGGACCAGTGTGGACTTGGCTGGCTGAATATGTTTGCTCCCGGCCAAAATGGCAAAACTCAGTCTCTACAAAAAAAAAAAAAAAAAATAGCCAGGCATGGTGGTGCACACTTGTGGTACCAGCTACTCAGGAGGCTGAAGTAGAAGGATTGCTTGAGCCCAGGAGGTCAAGGCTGCAGTGAACCTAGATGGCGTCACTGCACTCCAGCCTGGGTGACAGAGCGAGACCCTGTCTCAGGAAAAAAAAAAAAAAAAAAAAAAGAAAAGGAAATAGAATTTTGAGAGCTAGAACCTCCAGTGATAGTTTCCATTAGTTCATATGAAAATCTCCGGGATAGGGTGTGAAAGCTAACCATTCCTGAATGATTGGCTGATTTATTAAGTCATGCTCTTCACACACCCATGACCTTACTCCTTCCTCTCTCTACACTCAGCTCTCTTAGTGTACTACTCTTTTCTTGTGTCAGTCAGTTGAAGTAGTTCCATTCAATATAATGAAAAACCTAGGATGCTGCTATAGAGTAGTTCACTGCCTTTGTAAATGACCTACATTGCCTTTAATGCCATGCTTTTTTTAAATTTTTATTTTAAAAAAAATTAATTGTAGACACAGGTCTTGCCATCTTTCCCAAGCTGTCTCCAACTCCCAGGCTCAAGCAATTCTCCCGCCTCAGCCTCCCGAAGTGCTGGGATTACAGTTGTGAGCCACTGCTCCCAGCCTAATGCCACACTCTGAGTTTTGTTGAATATCTAGCTGAGATTTGCAACCACTTTGCTGTCACTGCTACATTATTAAATTCATATATAAATTCATTTCAAATGAACAAAATTCTCATTACTACAAGAATTGGAAAGAATATAAAATTCAATGTCTATTCTCAGTTTGGATTATACTTATGAGCACTTCGGTATTCATCTGTAGAAAGAAATGATTAAAATCTAGATGACTTTTAAAGTGCCTTCTAATTTTAATACTCTATAACGCTATTACTTCTACATAGCTGAATCATTGGTAAGTTATCATAGCTCAATGAAATAAGGCAATTTGTAGTGTAGGCTGCACTAAGGCTATGCTCTCCGTGGCCAAAGTTATTTCTTAGAATACTGAGCTAAAAATGTAACTGCATTCTGCAACCTATGCAAACATGTTCTAACTGATGGGAGGGGAAAAAAATTCAATTCAGAGTGCCAACAATTCCTCTGTGAGTTAGCGTGGCAGGGATAGCGTAGGGTCAGTGAAGCATCAAGTTACAGACCAAATTAAAGGTCTGGAGAAGAGTGGCAGAGTCTAATCATCCATCGTCTGAGGTTGCCAAAACTGGATCTACCACCCTTACTCACTCACAAAGGACCGTTCTATGGAGGCTAAGCATACAGACTTTGGGCTTCAAACATCTTTTTTTAAAAAAAGGTCTTCTCGTTCCAAATAGATCTTTATGAAATTATTTCCTTGAAGCTCTCAGTTCTGTCATTTTAAAATTTCCATCAAAAAGTAATCAAAACCTAATGCTTACAGTGTTCTGCCACAAATAAAAAATTATTGTGGGTTTTTGTTCCTATTAAAAACATATGCAACATATACATATTTATAGAAGTCCCAGAACCAGTGTACACACGTCCACAAAAACCTTAGGAAAATAATGTTAATAGTTTTGCCTAAACCAATAAATTTTATATTGTGCTCTGTCCATGACTACCCTTACTAAGCTAACACTTTGCAAAGGTCAGCAAGCAATGAATATTTCTGCATATTTTGTGGCATAGGTTGCAAACATTAGATCTATAGGGATGAATTAAGGTCACTTTTAAAATTCAGACAGTATTTTCTGGACTTGGTTGACCGAATCATGCGCATCTGCACTATTTTTCCTGGGGGAAAGTTAATTTTAGAAAGGAGAAAAAGTTTGCCAGGAAAACAATCACATTGGCTCAATCTCTAGACAGTGATTCTTTTCTTAAAAGTTCAAAATGCTTTACAGACAGCCTCCTGCTTGTCCTTAATATCCTTGAAAGCGGGTATGGAATATCATCCCTATTTCATAACAGGCATCTGGTTTCATAAAAAGAAATGTAAGCTTTAATGTTATAACTACTTAAGGGTACTTTAAAAAATTGGTCCTTCACCTCAATTTTTCAAAAGACAGAAAATAAAAATCTTTATTTTCCCTGGTAGTTACCTTCTGATAGTTGGATAAGTACTTATAATGGTTCAGGTACATATATGAATATATGAAAAGTAGCAGACATGCATCGATGACAAAGTTCAAGATGGAGAAACATTTAGTATTTCTGTAAATATGATATAATTTACAGACTCTCTTAATCAATTCAGGATAGAAGAACTTGGTTCAAATAATTAGGAGTGAAAACAGGATCTAAATTAATTAATATGATCACTGTTCCTTCTAGTTCCTAGAGATAATAGTCCATTTGAGTCTTTAGCCTTAAAGTAAGAAAAATGTAAAAATGTCAATGGGCTGCATTCCATCATCGACAAAAAGTCAAGGGAGCAGTGAAGGAAGATTTTCTGATTCTCTGGAGAATGGGCCTCAGCCCCTTCTAATTGTCAGGGTACTTGTGAAGGAATTCTTATATTTTAAAAATTGATATTTAAAAGCTGTTTAACCAGGTCTCCTAGAAGTATGCATTTCCCCCAATGTTATATCAGAGTTTCAAATGAATGTTAACTCTCCCTTTCCAAAATTGCTGTCTCGGACAAGGCGCTATGGCTCACTCCTGTAATCCCAGAACTTTGGGAGGCCGAAGCGGGTGGATCACTTGAGGTCAGGGGTTCGAGACCAGCCTGGCCAACATGGTGAAACCCTGTCTCTACTGAAAATACAAAAATTAGCCAGGCATGGTGGCGTATACCTGTAATCCCAGCTACTCGGGAGGCTGAGGCAGGAGAATCACTTGAACCCTGGAGGCGGAGGTCGCAGTGAGCCGAGATCGGGCCACAGCACTCCAGCCTGAGCGACAGAGCGAAACTCCGTCTCAAAAAATAAAAACGAAATTTAAAAAAATTACCTTCTCAGATCCAATGATACCGCACCAATCACATTAATCAACTTGAGGGGAACTGGCTTTCATCCCTTTCACTGTTTTTATTTTCAATTCACACTAATAGTTTCAACTGATGCTTAGCCACAGTGGGTGGCCCCTCTCTCTTCTTTGCGGACCTTACAGATACTTGGGGGTATGTTGCGGGGGCGGGCATCACAATCACCTGAGGTGCTTTTTAAATCTACTCAAGCCTGAACACACACACGCATGCAGGCACGCACACGCACACACACCAGATTTCTGAATCGAGATTTCAGAGTGGGGTCCAGCTTTTTTCCCCAGCGCCTAAGAGCTTTTGCTTTAAGTTGTTATAAAGTTGTAGCACCGCAGTCACCCTGAAAACCTTGTACACTTATCATAATAGTTAAGGGGGGAAAAAACCACCTCAGCCTGTGCCGATACCAAAGGTAAGACAGTGCATTTACTTTGATCAAGAATCAATATTCCTCCCAAAGTTAGGATAGTAAAGGAAGTGGGGGCGGGGGGAAGGTATGTTATGGAAGGAGAAGGAGTTATCACCTTTCAGCCTGGAAATTGTTACAGACCCTAGGGGAGATCTTTGCGTCCGTGTTTGCGCCACACACCTGGAAAGGGTGGATTACTCCTGCCAGCCCTGACCTCAGAGCCGGGGGTGCGGGTTTCCAGAGCTTCCCGGGGGCGGGGAAGAAAAGTCGGGAGTGGAGCTTGGAGAAGAGGTGGGGGTCCGGCGGACGGCGGAGGGGAAACGCGGATGCCCGAGGGTCTGATCCCCCGTGGGCCGCCCGCCGCGGCTTCAGCTCTGCGCGGAGGGGACCTGGGGACGGAGAAAGGGAAGGAGCAGAAGGGGAGGCGGTGACAGCCTCGGGGAGGCCGAACTGGCCCCTCGCAGAGGCTCCAGGCAGCTCGAGGGCGAACGCTGCACCCCGTGCCCCTCCTTACCTTGCGCCCGAGGTCCAAGTAAGGAGCAGGGAGACCCCGGGAGGCGCAGGGCTCCCGCCAAGGCGCGCGCGCGCTCGGGGTCCGCTATCAGCTTCTTCAGGCTGCGGGTTCAGGTATGGAAGACATTCAGGTCGCCTAGCTACCAGCCCCTTGGCGCGTCTCGGACCCCTCCTCGGCCCTCGCCCCGGCGGCCCTCTGCCCCGCTCCCCTCCGCCCCGCGGGCGCCCTCAGAGCCTCTCTGGCTGCTGATTCCGAAGAGTTTTGGCCCCTCTCCGCGGCCGGCCCTCCCTCCGCGCGCGCGCACTCACCTTCCCCACAAACGCACCCTCTTTAGGAAGGAGGCAGCGAATGCGGTCCTTGAAATTCTAGGCGCTGGGCAACTTCAGAAAACCTTTTAAAAATCTTTGATCTGCCCAATGAGGTTCAAAGTAGGGCACCATTTATATTCATACCCTGGCTCCGTCCTCTTTTTTGTCTTAACCACAGCATTATTTAACACTTGATATTCGTGTATAGGTTGAACTCTTGAGAATCTCCTGCCAGGCATTTTAATTTGTCCAAAATAACTCCTTACGTTTTATTGTTTTGAAAATGCAGACATCCCCACTTTATAAACTTGGGTTGCCAGGAGGTTAGATTGGCCTCAGAAAGCAGTTGTGTGTTCAACTGCACAAGACAGAGCAAGTCTCTTCCCAGCAGCGCTGGTACTTGCCACCTGTAAGGGCCCTGCCTCAGGGCAAGAGCAGTTAATTACACCCTGGCTTTGGTTACCGAGCATGCCCGGAGCCTCTGTTCTCACTTAAGACTCAGTTCTGAGGCTCAGGTTCTGGAAAGAAGCAGGTGGATGTGTTCAAAGAAGAGAGTTCTAATGGAGAAAACCAGCAAAGGGCAGAGAAAAAGAACGACGGGAAGGGATCCTGGGAACATGACGGTATCTTGGATAGAAGGATGTTTGAGGGCATAATATAAATAAATTATAAAAGAATAGAAAAGATTTTTAAAGTTAATAAAAAACTTTGAAGTAAATAAAATAAAAAAAGTAATTTAAAAATAACAAAGAAACATGACGGTATCACTAACTCCCAGGAGCCAGAGAGTGACATAACCCCTACTGGGAATGTGGAAGTTGAATTGTTAAATGGCACTCCACTCACTCATTCACCTATCAATATATTAATAGTATATATTTATGAAATATGTTAAAGGCAGTAAAGCATTATTCATAGTCATATTATAAACGCTGCTAGGAATCAACTTCTCAACCAGTTTGTAACAGGGCCCTGGAAAATGCAAATATCTATTAAAGAGACACCATATTAATCCACTGTCTTTTTCTAAATTTATCAAATAAGTTTCTCATCTGAAGGCTGAAAAATGGGCACTTACTAAAAACTGTCAGGTTTGTCTACTAGATAGAAGGCAGATATCAGAAGATAAACTCACCAATCAAGTTACTACAACTGAAAGAACCAGCTTAGCTGATGTAAGAAGAGGTGAAGAGGGAGGAGGGAGGTCAACCAAAGACTACACAGGCATTCTTTTTTTTCTTTGAGACAAGGTCTTGCTCTGACACCCAGGCTGGAGTACAGTGGTGCTGTCATGGCTCACTGCAGCCTCGACCTTGGGTTCAAGCAATCCTCCTGCCTCAGCCTCAGAGTAGCTGGGACTATAGGTACGCGCCACCATGTCCAGCTAATTTTTGCATTTTTTGTAAAAAGGGGGTTTCGCCATGTCGGCCACGCTGATCTTAAACTCCTGGGTTCAAATGATCCTCCCCCCTTGCCCTCCTGAAGTGCTGGGATTATAGGCATGAGCCACTGCGCCTGGCCTGGCATTCTTTTTTCTTCTGTCAGAATAAATACTTGCCAGTCTCACACTAGCAAGCGTTCAATAAACACTGGGTGCTGAGGATGGAAGAGCTATCAGAAAGACAACATTCCTGCTCTCATCAAGCCGATTGGGAAGGAGGGTGTAGACAAGAAAAGGAGGGTGTAGACAAGAAAACAGGCTGTGAAAAGTAGATGCTCTGATGGAGGATGACACATCCGGGGCAGTATAGGTGAGACCTTAAGAGTGAGGGTAATTTGGCCCAGAACAGGAAAATAGGAGAAGAAAAAGTTTTCCAGTAGGAGCACCAACATGGAGAGAAAGCCAAAGGTAAGAAGGAACATGGCCATTCACTATGGCTGGAGGATCTTTTCTTTGGGGTGGGAGACTGGGAGGAACAATGTAGAGACAAGGCTAGAGAGATGAACAGAAGTCAGATCATGTAGAGTCGTCTAGACCATGTTTTACAAATTGCACTTCAGGATAAAGAAAATGTGGTACATACACACCCAGGACTACTACTTGGTCATTAAAAACAGAAGGAAATAATGTATTTTGCAGGAACTTGGATGGAGCTGGAGGCCATTATTGTAAGTGAAGTAACTCAGAAATGGAAAATCAAATACCAAGTGTTCTCACTTATAAGTGGGAGCTAAGCTATGGATATACAAAGGCATATAGAGGGGTAATCATGGATATTGGAAACCCAGAACAGGGCAGGGTAGGAGGGTCAGGAATAAAAAATTGCATATTGGTAACAATGTACACTACTCAGCTGACAGGTGCACTGCAATCTCAGACTTCACCACAATTCATCCATATAACAATAATCCCTTGTAGCCCAAAAGCTACTGAAATTTTTAAAATATTTTTTTAAAATAAAAAATTTAAAAAAATTCTACATTAGGCCAGGCACCGCGTTTCATACCGTGAGCTTTGGAGGCTGCTTTAGGAGGCTGAGGTGGGAGGACTGCTTGAGGCCAGGAGTTCAAAACAGCCTGGACAACATAGAGAGACACTATCTCTACAAAAAAAAATTGAAAAATTAGCGAGGTGTGGTGCCATTGGCCTGTAGTCCTAGCTACTTAGGAGGCTGAGGTGGGAGGATCTCTTGAGCTTGGGAGGTCGAGGCTGCAGTGAGCTATGATCGCATCCTACACTCCAGCCTGGGTGACAAAGCAAGACCCTGTCTCTAAAAAAATAAATTAAAAAATTACACTTGATCCTACAGACGATGGGGAGGCATTTAAGTGTTATAGGCAACATAATAATGAGATCAATTAAAAAAACAAAAGACTCCTGGCTGCAGGCAGAGAACTAATGAGGATGGGAGGTAGGGATGAGAGGAAAGAGGATAAATCAGGAAGAAGATCTCTGTAAAGGACACTTAATCAATGAGTACCAGGCCAGGTACAGTGACTCCTGCCTATAATCCCAGCACTTTGAGAGGGTGAGGTGGGAGGATCACTTGAGCCCAGGAATTCAAGACCAGCCTGGGCAAATAGGGAGACCTCATCTCTACAAAAGATAAAAAAATTAGCTGGGCATGGTGGCATGTGTTTGTGGTCCCACATGCTCAGGAGGCTGAGGCAGGAGGATCCCTTGAGCCAGAGAGGTCGAAGCTTCAGTGAGCCATTATCATGCCACTGTACTCCAGCCTGAGTGACAGATTGAGACCCAGTCTTAAAAATCAATCAATACCAATGTAGAGATCCTCATACCTTTATGGAATCTAAATTCAGTCCCATGACAAGTTCCTAAGAGACAAGCTTTCCTGGAAGGGAAGAGAAGTGTGGAGGGAGGAGGGTCACTGATGGTAAAAAACTGAGAAACATATTGGTAAATAGAATTGAGAGAGAAAATGGCTTTTTAAAACTAAATATTTATACAGTGACTCTATCTCACACACTTCAAAGATAAAAGAATGTTGATTTGTAACTGAGTAGTGGAATAAATTAAAGGGAAATTGACACATAAGACGTACATTGATATACATCCCCAATTTCCTACCATGTTAAAAGCAAACCAGCATGCTCCTGCCTCTTCTCCCTCTCCTTTTGAGAGAGTTATTTTATTTCTCTTTTTGTTTGTTTATTTGAGATGGAGTCTCGCTCTGTTGCCCAGTCTGGAGTGCAGTGGCACTATCTCGGCTCACCACAACCTCTGCCTCCCGGGTTCAAGTGATTCTCCTGCCTCAGCCTCCCAAGTAGCTAGAATTACAGGCATCCACCACCACGCCTGGCTAATTTTTGTATTTTTAGTAGAGACGAGATTTCACCATGTTGGCCAGGCTGGTCTCGAACTCTTGACCTCCAGTGATCCACTCGCCTCAGCCTTCCAAAGTGTGTGAGCCACCGCACCCGGCTATTTTTATTATCCCTCACTCTAATTATTTTATGGTCTTCCTCAATTTGCATCTATTTGTCTGAAGTCAAAGTCCGTGCTAGGCTGGTCTGAGTGCACTGTTGCTTATAACTAATTAATCTCAACCAGTTACAGATCTCTTTGTTCCCTCTCCATTCCCATTGCTTCATTTGACTAGCTTTTAAAGAAATAATTTAAACATTTTTACAAACCAAGGTTCATGCTACTTCCTTCCACTAGGCCATGCTCTCTAGATTCACTAAGGTCTAGGCAGCTATGGCTGTCCCTGGGAGCTGAGCCACCTCGCTGTAACCATGGTGGGCTGTACTCAGAAGACTTAATGGAAGGCTAGAGTGCTAGGGCTAGGGTGCTAGGAGGTAGCAGGGCTCCCCTGATGGATCCTCCCACCTGAGTCAGAGCAAATAGGCCAAGAAGAAAGGAAGAGGGAAAGGCTGGTTGGCCTTAGGGGGGCAGAGCCACAGCAAGACAGCCAAACATTTCACCCCTAGGTCACTCGATTCATAGTATTTTTTCAGATGATTTGCTACCTTCTGTCTGTCATTTCAATTTGGTTTTTCTCAATTTTCCTTTGTTTTTTTTTTTATTTCTATTTATTCTCTCCTCTTTTTATTTTAGCTGAAGATCCAGGAAAGCTGGGTGTAGTTCAAAGGACTGAGAGCCAGAGAGTCAAGGGTATAGATTCCAGCCTTGGTCTGAAGGCCTGAGAACCAGGAGCACCAAGGGCAGGAGAGGACTGATGTTCCAGCTCAAGCAGCCACCCAGTGTGAATTCAATCTTTCTTCACCGTTTTGTTCTATTTGGGCCCTCAATGGATTAGATGATGCCCATCCACACTGGGGAGTGCCATCTGCTTTATTCAGTCCACCAACTCAAATACTAATTTTTTCCAGAAAGACCCTCACAGACACACCCAGAAATAATGTTTAACCAGATATCTGGGCATCCAATGGCCCAATCAAGTTGACACATAAAATTAGCCATCACATTGCCTTATTTGACCCTCCTTCATCTTCACTCTTCTCTCTCTCTGTAGACTAGGGCTTCTCCAATTCACACAGCAGAAAACATGTCCCTACAGTTCCTAACTTTATTTGTTACAGATCCAATTACCAAGTGGAATCCATCTTTCTAATAATTCCAAATTCCCAGGTAGGGAATTAACTGGCTTTACTCAGGTCAGAGTCATGATGTAAAACATGCCTAAAAAGAGTTCTTCATCTAATTCTATGGATGGTGGCCACAGGATTGGAAATGCGGATGGAAGGATCTTTGAGAAGGTTGAGGGTAAATGTTTACTATGAAGGCAGACATGTAAATAAGTAATAACACTATAATTTCATAAATACCCTAATAAAGATATGAACAAAGTATTAAGGAAGCACAAAATAGCAGGGAGGGGAGGGAGTCTCAACTTCAGAAACATAAGCATGAGGAATGTGCAAGAAGATAATGTTCAGCTGGGCATGGTGGCTCACACCTATAATCCTAGCACTTTGGGAGGCCGAGGCGGGCGGATTGCTTGAGCCCAGGAGTTCGAGACCAGCCTGGGCAACATAGTGAGACCCTGTCTCAAAAAAAAAAAAAAAAAAAGTTGCGGGGCTGTCCTGTGTTTTGTAGGATGTTTAGCAGCATCTCTGGTCTCTAATCACAAGATGCCACTAGCACCCCCTCTAAGTTTTGACAACCAAAGATGTCTCCAGACACTATCAAATGTCCTGGCTTCACTTGAGAACCATTGTGTTATATTGAGATGTGAATGGGAGAGAGACACATGCATTTTTCAAAATATATATTATTAGGAGGTAGCATCACCTTCTAATATTCTTTTCCTAATTTGAAAACGTCTGTTTATTCTAAATTTAATTTTTTAAATCCAAGCTGCATGTCAGTCAGGTACTCTCCCAAACCTTCTCTAATTTCCTGAAATGAAGAATGAGTTATAACAAGAAATGTTTTACTTATTAAAGTCTAGATTAAAAATAAGATTTGACCGGGCACAGTGGCTCACGCCTGTAATCCCAGCACCTTGGGAGGCCGAGGCGGGCGGATCACTTGAAGTCAGGAGATCGAGACTAGCCTGACTTACATGGTGAAACCGTCTCTAACTAAAAATACAAAAATTAGCTGGGCGTGGTGGCACACGTCTGTCATCTCAGCTACTTGGGAGGCCGAAGCAGGCGAATCACTTGAACCCAGGAGGCGGAGGTTGCAGTGAGCCAAGATCGCGGCACTGCACTCCAGCCTGGGTGACAGAGTGAGACTCCATCTAAAAACAAAACGAAACAAAAAAAAAAAAATGAAGAAAGAAAGAAAACCAAAAAATGGAAAAAATAAGATTTATAGAAATATTTTAGAGTTACACATATCTATTTTCGAAAATAACACCCCATTTTGACAGTCTTGTGACAATGTTGATATCTAGCCAACTTGCAATAGAAATCATTTTTCTGACTCTGATGTTATGATTTGGCCAAGGGCATTAATATAACCTGAGTATTGAATCTTAGTAGAAAAGCCCCCTCCTATAGAGATGACCTGCCTGTTTTGTTTTAACAGCAAATAAGGGCAATAATACCAAGGCTCTATGCTTCTCTATTCCTTTAGTCTCATTCCATGGAACAGCTGATAAGATATATTAAAGAAATGTGTTACAAATAATACTCTTAAAGTTAGAGCAAAATTAGTTACTAGGAGCAAAAGTTTGTTAGCCATTCATCCTTTGTTCTCCAAGTTTTCTAAGCCTCACCATTTCCCTTACCTCCTCCAACTGCTTGCCTTGAGGGGGTCCTCCCTGACCATTGTCAAGCCAGAACATCCACTTTATTCAACCAACTGGATATTGTTGCATTCAGATATTTTCCAAACCCAATCTTAAATAGCTACACCGTACACTGTGGCTAACTCACTCCACCAGAATAGAGTATGATATCTTGTTTTTAGAAGAACCAAATGTGTCACTATATTTATATTTATAACCAGGTTTAAAAAAGAATCTGTTCATTAGCTTATTCAAGCCACGTTAGTTTACTGACTTGATATTACTGGACTTTTTTTTTTTTTTTTTTTGAGATGGAGTTTCGCTCTTGTCGCCCAGGCCAGAGTGCAATGGTGCAATCTCAGCTCACTGCAACCTCTGCCTCCCGGGTTCAAGCGATTCTCCTGCCTCAGCCTTCCAAGTAGCTGGAACTACAGGCATGCATCACCACGCCTGGCTAATTTTGGTATTTTTAGCAGAGATGAGGTTTCTCCATGTAGGTCAGCCTGGTCTCGAACACTCGACCTTAGGTGATCCGCCCACCTCGGCCTCCCAGAGTGCTGGGATTACAGGCGTGAGCCAACGCGCCCAGCCTGGATGGTCTTTAAATAGCATCCAGACAACAAACTCATGCCAGACTAAGAACCAAAAGGGGGTGCACTTTAATTAAACAAATTTTTTTAAAGTATTTACTATGTGTCAGGCACCATGCCAAGCACCGGGAGGGAATAATAAAAGGAAGCACAGGGCCTCTGCCCCTGAAACTTACATTCTGGGAAAAATCGATCTGTGTATGCAAGAGTTAGATTATGTGCATGAGAAAGATCGGTATGTGTGTGCAGTTTATATAAAAACTTCTCACAGGCAAAAGGAGGGAAGTGTTTAAGAACCAGGGTTTCAATAATTGCCAAAATAAAACCAACATATTCTCAGGCACATCCCCTGTTCATCCCGATTGTCCCAGATATGGTTGCAATTAGCCCTTCTGTGTCAGAGACAGCAATACTCATCAGCTACTTCCTGTGTGCCCCTATATTGTCTAAATTCTTTGTGGTTAGGTGGGATCATATGACTGAGCTGACCAATGAGCAGAACCACAGAACAGCAGGTATGGGTTCTCCTCTTGCTCTCTTCCCCTACCACCATGAACATGATGGACTTGTGTTAAGATAGTAGATCTACAAGATCAAAGTAGCCTAGAGCAATGACTAAACCACACAAACGGAAGCCCTGGAGAATTGCCTGAACTGACAGGGAGATTTATAGAGCAAGAAACAAACTTTGCCATTAGGCCATTGAAATAGCCCGTTTTATCCTAATATACTTTCTCATCACATTAACCAAAAAAATTCTGGATCTTCATAATACGGGTTTATTTTGGTTGGCATTCATTCACTCAGCAAAATACTTACTATGTGTTAGGCACTGTTTTGGGTGCTGAGAATACAGTGATGAACAAGACAAAGTCCCTGCAGCCTCAGGGAGTTTACATTTTTGTAGGAAAGATAGACAATAAATAAACAAAATTTTCTGGTAGTGATAAATGTAATAAACAGAAATAAAGTTATTACTGATCGGTCCTGTACCCTTCTCACTAAGCCTCGCCCTTCTCATGTCTTTACTTCCCTCCTTACTCAGCTCAGACTCTATGGTCCATCACTATCTTCCTTGTCCTGTGTGTATCCTCAACTCACTCACCGTTTTCTCCTTCTTTCTTACCTGCCTAGCAAAATACCAACCTGGTTAAATGCACTTTTTGGATGCTGTTGTTGCCATCTTCGTACTTACTCCCAGGTAGCTGAATATGGCCGGAGAAAAACAATAATGCTGACTGGTCTCACTCTCACTTTACAGCCATTGATCCCAGTGAGTCCTTGCAGCTACATGGCAAGCCTACGACATTCCCTAATCCATCCATCTCCCATTTTTCTACATGATCACTTCACATTTCCTGTCCAAAAACCTTCAACAGTCTCTCTCACACTCACTCACTGTCAATAATGTTGCCCCGGATTTTACTGAGAAACTTAAAGAAATAAAAACTTCAAAAACTCCCACTTACATCTGCCAACCCCTGCCCTGCATGGGTACTGATGTCCTCTGTGTTTCCTCTTGTTACAATGGAACAGCTTTCCATTGTCCTTTTCAAGGACAACTCTTCTACTTGTGCACTAGATCCCATGTCCCCTCATCTCCTGTGGCAGACATGGAGATGTGTCACCCAGATGCCTCTTCAAGGAAGGATCTGCTGCCCAGCTGCAGACCCTAGAGTTAGCAGGCAGCCTCCATCTGTCAGCTCCTTCAGGATCTGCCAAAGCCACTAAAGTGGAATCACTTCAGTCGAGGTAACACCCTTCCTGGGGCTGCCTGCATGCGGTGACTGAGCAGTATGGCGATATAAAAGCTCAGCCACTCAGAATACCCTGAAGAGCAGCACTCACTCCAGAACTCCCCTCGTAGCTGTCTGAAGCTCTGTCAAGCCAGCTTTGCAGTTTGACCTCTTCCTCTGCCCAATCTTACTTCTTCCCCCTTCCCTTCACAGTTCTTCACCTCTAATAATCACCTGGTGTCCCAAATTCTGTTTCAGCTTCTGCTTACAGAGAACCCAACCTGACCTACCTACTGTAGATTGGCTTCAGCTACTGTCTCCTTCTCTTGTATCATCAATGTTCCCCTCTCCACTGATTCATTCTCATCATCATACAAACATGGGTCTCTTTTCTTCAAAACCAAACTCCCTTTGAACTACTGCTCCTTCTTTGTTTTCCTGTACAGCAACATTCCTGGAAAGAGTGTCTGAATCCATTCCTTGCCTACCTGTCTCTCTGTATTCCCACTCCTGGAACATTTAGACTCACCACCCCACAGAATAGTCCATGTCACTGATAACACAACATTGGTATTTCCAGTGGTCAATTATCAGTTCTCATCTTACCTGACCTTTTATCAGCATGTGACTCAGTGGATCACCCTCCTTCAAAAACACTCCTTTGTCACTTGGCTTCTCGGACACAATTTTCATGTAAGTCTCTTCCCACTTCACTGGCTACAGTTGCTCTTCTCTTCTCCTTTGCTGGTTCCCCTCTCACTCTTGAACCTCTCAACACTGGAGAGCTCCAAGGTACAATTTTGAATATCCCCTTATCCCTACCTATGTTCCCTGTTAGTGATTTCATTCAGTTTCAGGGCTTTAAATACCATCTACATGTTGACAACTGCTATATTTATTTCTTGAGCTAGAGTTTCTTCTGCTGAATGCCAGACTCTCAAATCCAACTGCCACTCCTGAATCTCCATTTTGAATTGTCAAAACTAACATGTCTAAAACAAAACAACTCATTCCCACCTCCTGCACTTTCCCCTCTAAAACCATCCTGCCCACCCCCACCCCCGAAGTCTTTCTCATCTCAACGAATAGCTACTCCTGTTCTCACAGTTGTTGAACCAAAAACCCCAAGGTCATCACTGATTTCTACCTGACTCTCGTGCCCCACATCCAAAACTTTAGAGCATTCTTTGGAATAACCTAGTGGGTCTTCAGATCTCCCATTTTCTTAGGATCTCTTCAAATGTCATCTTATTAATAAGTCATTGCTTCATTGTTGAATATATAAAACAAAATCCCATCCACCCTACTGGTACTTCCTATCTTCTTTAACTTGCTTTACTGCTATCACTAATTGTCATAGAATATATATTCACCTGCTCGTTGTCTTGATGGCAGTGACAGCCTGTCTGGAGCAGCTGCTGAGGGGATGCCAGCTGCAGTATGGAAGGCGTGGCCAGAGCTGCCCACTCCTCAGAGACAGCGGGCGCCAGGAACATGCAAGAGCCCCGTCCCCTACCACGTCAGCGAGGCGGGAGACCCATGTTCCTGGGCACAGCTGCAGCCGTCCAGCCGCAGCTCTGCACCCAGCCATCCCTGCACTCTTGGGGGCCCAGGAAACCCCCTGCCCCTGCAGGCTGAAAGTGCCTGCTCCTGAGGTTGCAGTGAGCCAAGAGCACGCCACTGCACTCCAGCTTGGGTGACAGAGTGAGACCCTGTCTCAAAAAAAAAAAAAAAAAAAAAAAGAATGTGCCTGTTCCCAGGCCTCTACCCTCTCTCTACCCACTCCCAGGGCCCACTCCAAGGCGGAGCAAAGTTGTGGCCAGGCACGGGCGCTGCTGCAACCCAGCTGGGTGTGCACGTGTTCAGGGCAGCACTGACACACCAGCCACCTGCCGCCTTGGCCCTCTCTGGACTTTGGGCACCAACAAGTGCGAGAAAGAGGCTGGTGGGGCTGAGGGTGGCTCCGCGTGGGCCTGCAGGCACCCCTCAGCACAAACAGCCTGGGCGCCATGGATGACATGTTGATGGTGGGAGGCAGACACGTTCCTGGGGGGAAAGGGGTAGGTCCCTGCCCACCTTCAAGCCAGGGATGGCCTGAAGCCTGGGGGGCCTGGTGGCCAGTTCCAGGTAGAGTCTGCAGCCCAGAGTGAAAACTAGTGGTGCTTTTTCTGGGCCCACCCATGGGCCAATCAGCACACACTTCCTCCCTTCTGAGCCCATAAAAACCCCAGACTCAGCCAGCGCTCAGGCCTACCAGCTGCAGGAAGGAGCTACCCACTTTGGTCTCCTCAACTCGTCAGGACCACCTGCCTGCAGAAAGGAGCTGCCCACTATGGGTCTCCTCTCCACTGAGGGCAGGACGCTAGTCGGGACAACCCCCCTGCAGAAAGGAGCAACCCACTTCAGGTCTCAGGAGAGCTGTTCTGTCCCTCAGTGAAGCTCCTGTCCACCTTGCTCACCCTCCAGTTGTTTGCGTGCCTCACTCTTCCTGGACACAGGACCAGAACTCAGGACCTGCCAAATGGTAGGATTGAAAGAGCTGTAACACAAATAGGGGTGAAACACAACCCCCCACTCCCAACCACGTTGCAGGCAGCAAGAAGGAGAGATGAGCTGTGGAGTGTGGATAGGATTTGAGTGGGATAAATAGTGTGGAAAATGGCATACCGTTTGAGGGTAGAAATGACACTATTCGCGTATGTTTTGGAAGGGGAACAAAAGGAAAAGGGAAGATTCAAAGGAAATGTCTAATTTTTGTCCTGCAACCCAGAGTCCAGGCAAATTTCACTGATCACATTTCTATTAAGTCCACTGAGTACAAGGATCCTTCAGGTGAGCTAGTGGTTGAAGAGTTGGGAGAAAATAAAGGAAATCACATACAAAAGAAGGCAGCATTGAGCAGGGAAGATACTGCTTTGAGTGTCTGCAGTGTTGAATGTGTAAAAAGCATCTGCATAGATGACCTAGAACTCTGGGAGAAGGGTCTGGACCCGGCCAAATAACATATTTCCTCTATTATAAAACAGAGAGTGTGTGTGAGAGAGGAGAGGAGAAGGAATGGGGTGGGAGGGAGCCTCTCCCCTTATATTTACAGGGGTGTAAATCTATGTGGCTGGCTATGTGAACCTTTAACGTGGCAGGTAGGATCTTTTTCCTTTCGGTGCACCTTACAAGCGATGCGGTCCTCAGAAATACAGATTTGGGAGTTATCTATCACCCAGCATGATTTCTGGAGCATTGATGAGACCGCTGATTAATTCTCCTCCGCCTCAGAGTAACACTGTCGATAGCGACTTCGGAGATCTCTAAACTTCTTTACCGCGCCCGCCGCGCCCCTCCGCGGCCCGGGACTGCTCATCATCTTTTCCAGGAAGCGACCGTGGAAACAATAAACACGCAGGCCCCCTAGCGTCCTTCCGTTCCGCGCTGCCAGGCCGCCTCGCCTCCCGCTCCCGCCCGCCCCGCGGGACACAGCCCGCCCGCACTCCGGGGCCCGAGCGCCGACCACACTCCAGGCGCAGCCGGGGAGAGCCCCGCGCGCGCATCCCTCCGCCCGCGGCCGAGGCGACCCCTCGCGGTCCCGCCCGCCCGAGCTTCCCGCGGAGGCACCCGGCCGCCCCGCCTCCCCCGCCCCGCGCCCGCCAACTCCCAGCTCGCGGCCCTGATTGGTCGCCGCATTCCCGCTCTCCTTCCCGAACCGCCATTTTGAAAATCTTGTTGATTCTGGGGAGCCGAGCGCGCGGCGCGAGCGTCACGCCAGACAGCGGCCCGCGCGCCTTCTCCTCGGCGTCGGCCGCCGCCGCCTCCCAGAACCTCCTCGTGCCCTCGCGTGCCAGGCCCGCGGCGGCCGAAATCCGCGGTAAGGGCTGCTTCGGGACGCCGGAGGCCCGGTCGCCCCTGCCGCGGCCGACGGGGGAGGGACGCGGCCATTTGGACGGCGGCCTGGGGCGGGGGAGGGGACGTGGAGGGCCGGCAGCTCGGGCCGGGCCGGGAACAGCGCAGGCCGGGCGGGCGCGCGCGCACGCGGGGCAGCGGGCGCGGTTTCCCGCCTCGGGAATCCCTGGACGGCGGCGGCGGAGCGGGAGGGAAGCCGCCCCTGGGGACTGAGCGCTGCGGTCCCGGCTATGGGAGGAGGCAACTTTCAGGGCAGGTGTCCCGCGGGAAGGGTAGCATCATTCAGGGTGGCCGCCCGGTCCTGCCTGCGGGAGTAGGAGGACCGAGACGTCCGGCTTTCTTCCCGCATGCAGGTTCACAGCATGTCCGCCTCGGCCCCTGCTGCGGAGGGGGAGGGAACCCCCACCCAGCCCGCGTCCGAGAAAGAACCCGAAATGCCCGGTCCCAGAGAGGAGAGCGAGGAGGAAGAGGACGAGGACGACGAGGAGGAGGAGGAGGAGGAAAAAGGTGGGGGGAGTCGCATCCCAACTGATGAATTTTTCAGACCGAAGTTTTTTTGTATTTTTCACCCAGGAAACAGTTTTCTTGCTCTTTTGGTGTTTAGAGGCGTGAAGTCGGAGTGATTTTCAGCGAGAATGTGTGCACAATTTATCTGCTTTTGTTTTGAGCGATGGCGTAGAATTGACTTTGTGTATTCCGGTTTTTAAAGTATTTGTTAGCGTGGTAGAGATGTATTGGAGTGCAGCCGACTTCTCGTCCGCTCTAAACGTTCGTTAACATTTCATCATTTGACGGGAAGTTTGTAGGTCTTGGATTTGATTTTTTTTTTTACCTGTGTGTGTGCACCTTTGAAGTTGCTAAGTGGATGTTCTAATTTTGTCCTTTTCATTACACATCTTTTGCCTTTTGAAGTTATTGTAAGGTCTTGGTGCAGCCCGTTAAGACTGAAGTTATAAGGCTAGACCCGGAAGTATTTGAATACTTTCGAATATTTTTACATTTACCAAAAAGTTTCCCTCCCTGGCAAACAGCGGTGAAAGCTGTTGCTACTTGAGAAAGTAGTTAAAAATGAAGAAAGTGAACTCTGAAAGAAAGTTAAATGTGAGCCCAGCACTGTCTCGGTTTCGAACCTGTGTCTGTTTTAAGGGAGGGCGATATGAGCCCTGATTTGACTGGAGGTGTGAAACGGAAACTTGACTGAATAGAGGAGTGTGCTGCGGCAGTTTATCCAGGATGCATGCAGTGTCTGTTTCAGGTGTACCCGCTTCTTGACATGTTTCCAAACATTTAAAAATCCGAGTCGCATCTCTTAGCATTCTTTGATATTAGCTTAGTCTGCGGTTATTTCGTATATGTTTACGACTCAGCCACACTTGGGAAGAGGTTGAAGCGCTCTTCCTAAACCCGGATTTTTTTTAAGCCTCAACCAGCCTGTGGTCACAATCTGGGTTAAGATTACAAGGTGTGCCTTTTGTTTGTTTAAAGTGGTATGTGCCCTAAGAAGGGCATATTTAAGTAAAGCATGGCTTTTTAAATATAAGTTTTCACATAAACTATTGCTTAACAACATGTTATTTTAAAATTATTTTTAATACAACAACAAAATTGGCTGCACTATCTCGCTGCTAGCCAAAGAGGCTCTGCACTTTTTCTCCAATTTTTTGTTTGTATTTTGGTCTTCTGGTGGGGGCAGGGTTGAGATGCCAAAGAAATGGTGAATTTTCTTCATGTCAGGAAAAAATTAGAGAAGTCATGTAAATATACTGTAAGTGGCCAACACAGTAATGCTTGGGGAAGAGTTGGTAGTTGAAAGAATCCCATGTTTTGTTCTAGACAAATTATTTTTAAAAACATGATGTTGTAGAAATTTTATCCCCTAATAGTTTTATTGTAGCTGTGATTTATTATTCTTTTTACTAATTTGAGGTGTTTGTGGGACAAGTAGAATTGTGAAAGTTTTTATTTTACTTAACCCTGAATATTTAACTTTAGAACTGAGGCATCATGGAAGCCAGACAGTGAAATACTTTCTGTATTAGGCTTTTTTTTTTTTTTGCGTTACTATAAAGAAACACTTGAGGCAGGGTAGTTTATAAAGAAAATAGGTTTTATTGATTCGTGGTTCTGCAGACAGTACAAGAAGCATGGCGCCAGTATTTGCTTCTGGTGAAAGCCTCAGGAAACTTCCAATCATGGCAGAAGACAAAGGGGGAGCAGGCATTTCATTTGGGAGTGGGAGCAAGTTGTAGAGGGAGGTGCCATGCTCTTTTAAACAAATCTTGAGAGAACTCACTCACCACCACGGATTACCATGCTAAGCCGTTCATGAGGGATCTGCCCCCATGATTTAATCACCTTACCAGGCCTCACCTCCAGCATTGCAAATCACTTTTCAACACGAAATTTGGAGGGGGCAAACATCCAAAGCATATCATTGCACCCCCGGTCCCCCAACTCTCATATGTTTCTCACATTTCAAGATTCAGTTGTGCCTTCGCAGTAGTCCCCCAAAGTCCGGTCTTGTTTCAGCATTAACACAGAAGTCCCAAATCTGTAAGTCCAGAGTTTCATCTGAAGATGAGTTTCTTCCACCTATGAGCCTGTGAGATCAAAAACAAGTTATTTACTCCCAAGATACAGTGATGGTACAGACATTGGGTAAAATTCCCATTCCAAAAGGGAGAAAGGCCAAAAGAAAGGTGCAATAGGCCCCACACAGTCTGGTTTGGTTTTTGTTTGGTTTTTGTTTTTCTGTGTTTGTTTGTTTGTTTGTTTTTTGAAACGGAGTTTCGCTCTCGTTGCCCAGGCTGGAGTGCAGTGGCCTGACCTCGGCTAACCGCAACCTCTGCCTCCTGGTTCAAGGGATTCTACTGCCTCAGCCTCTCGAGTAGCTGGGATTACAGGCATATGCCACCACAGCTGGCTGATTTTGTATTTTTAATAGAGACAAGGTTTCTCCATGTTGGTCAGGCTGGTCTCAAACTCCCGACCTCAGGTGATCCGCCCGTCTCAGCCTCCCAGAGTTTTAGGATTACAGACGTAAGCCACTGCGCCCGGCCTACAAGTCTGAATCCTAGCAGGGCAGTCTTTAAATCTTAAAGCTCCAAAATTATCTCCTTTTACTGCATGTCTGGCATCCAGAGCACGCTGGTGCAAGGGGTGAGGGGTCCCAAGGCTTTGGGCAGCTCAGGATGCAAGCTGCTTGTGGCTCTACCATGCTGGAGTTTGGAGGTGGCAGCCCCCTTCCCACAGCTCCACTAGCCAATAGAGCCTTGGTGGTGAATCTAGGGGTCCACCCCCCATTTCCCCTTTCCACTCCACACTGCCCTAGTAGAGGTTTTCTTTCTTTTTTTTTTTTTTTTTTGGAGACAAGGTCTCACTTGTCACCCAGGCTGGAGTGCAGTAACATGATCTCAGCTCACTGCAAACTCTGCCTCCCAGGCTCAAGCAATCCTCTCACCTCAGGAACCACAGGCATGCGCCACCATGCCCGGGTACTTTCTGTATTTTTTGTAGAGGCAGGGTTTTACCATGTTGCCCAGGCTGGTCTCAGACTCCTTAGCTCAAGTGACCTGCCCGTCTCTGCCTCCCAAAGGGCCTGGATTACAGGAATGAGCCACCACGCCTGGCCCTGAGTAGCAGTTTTCTGTGAGAGTTCCACCCCTGCAGGAGGCTTCTGCCCAGGCACCCAGGCTTTCTCATATATCCTCTGAAGTCTGTCCTAAGAAAGGGGTCAGATTAGCCAAAATTGGCAGTGATTTTGGGGAAAAGGGAAGTGAGAGAAATGACTAGTAAAAGATGACTCTTAGGTTTCTGTCTTTGGCAGGTGGGTGGATGGTATTAATGTTTTTTGAAAAAAATTCACAAAGTGAGCAAGTTTGGAGATGATTATGATTTTTCTTTTGAATATTTTGAGTTTAGGTGCCTGTAGGACATGAATTGTAGCTGTCCAGATGACAGACAGGCATATACTGTTGGCTCTCCATATCTGTGGGTTCCTCATCTGTGGATTCAATCAACCACAAATTGGTAAAAATGGATGGTTGCATCTGTACTGAACATGTACAGATTTTTTTATTATTCCTAAACAATACAGTATAACAACTATTTACATATCAGTTAAGTTGTATTAGTCATTATGAGTAATCTACAGATGATATAAAGTATATGGGAAGATGGTCATAGGTTACATGTAACTACTACACCATTTTTTTAAAAAATAAGGGACTTGAGCATCCATGGATTTTGGCATCTGAGGGGCGTCCTGGAACCAATCCCTCACAGATACTGAGGCAATATTAGTTAATATGAATCTCAGATGAAAGTTGTGGCTTGGAGATTGACTGGGAAGTCATTAGCTTGTAGTTAGTAATCAGAGACAAGCAAATAGTTTAAATCACTAAGTTGATGAAGTTGAGTGATAGTAGGGGTTGTTTTAGTGTGTTTGGTCTTCATTCTGTACAACATGGCCAGAATATACCTGTTGATAGCCCTTTCTCCTGAAGTATTCTTTCTGTGCGAATCCTTACATTACTAAATCTAAGCTGTCTTTAAAAGCCAGCACACGTGCTTTGTTCCTTTTTCTCTAGTCCCAAAATAATCAATTCCTCCTCAGTGCACAGCAATTTATTTGTGTATCTTTCTTAAGATGTTTTGTTATCTTTTATATTGGCGTATATTTATGTCTCATTTCTTTAGTAGCATCTTTTTCAAAAGATACGCAGTTTTTATCATCCATTTATCCCCTCTTAGTATTGAGTGCAGCTGCACAACACAGGCATTAAATAAATGGCAGAACCTCGAGCAGTATATAGTATTCTTTTATCTGACTTTATTTCATTCAAAAAATGATTTTATTTTAGATAAATGGAGCTTAATGTTTTGAATTTTGAAGTATATGCTACCTGTTTTCTAGATTTTTTTTTTTTTTTTTTTTTTTTTTTTTTTTTTTTTTTGAGACGGAGTCTTGCTGTGTCGCCCAGGCTGAGGTGCAGTGGTGCGATCTCGGCTCACTGCAAGCTCCGCCTCCTGGGTTCATGCCTTTCTCCTGCCTCAGCCTCCCAAGTAGCTGGGACTACAGGCACCAGCCACCACACCTGGCTAATTTTTTGTATTTTTTAGTAGAGATGGGGTTTCACCACGTTAGCCAGGATGGTCTTGATCTCCTGACTGAGTTAGCCAGGATGGTCTCGATCTCCTGACCGAGTTAGCCGGGATGGTCTTGATCTCCTGACCTCGTTATCCGCCCGCCTCAGCCTCCCAAAGTGCTGGGATTACAGGCATGAGCCACCGCGCCTCACCGTAGATTTTTGTGACTAAACAATTTAACTTTGAGTGACTTATGGTCATCATTAGGAATGTTATTCATAAACTACAAAGTAATGCTCTCCCAGTTGATTGCATTAAATGTAAACTTGGAGAGTTTTATCCTATCCACGTACTTCAGGCTGTTCTGCCTGGAAGTCTTTATTTGTGTTTCTTTTGTCAGTTTACTAAATTGTTATTGTTCTCTATATATCTTTTGAAGTTCTTAATCTCCCAGTCTAAATTTGATTATTCCTGAAGTACAGCAAACTGAATCTCAATTATTAAATAGAATTATGTCCAAAGATTAAACAGAGCTAGATTTTTTTCACAAACGAAGTGACTGGACTGTAATGGCAATAATTTTAGTTGGATAAAAATTAGTTTGCTTTCTAATTTTTTTTTTTAACTGAGTCCCTGTGAGTGCCAGGTGAGTAAAATGTTACTCTGAAAAAATTTTCATGGTGCTCTATTAATTAATCAAGTGTTTTCCTCTTTTATGTCATTTGCTTTCCAAAACCATGCTCAGAAGAAGAATAAAGTATTAGGTTTTGGGGACTTTGTTCTACATGTGTATCTAATAAAGTTAATACAATGTTTAAGCTTTTTGTTAATTAAGAAATACTAAATTAATTTCTAGAAAAGAGTCTCATCGTGGAAGGCAAGAGGGAAAAGAAAAAAGTAGAGAGGTTGACAATGCAAGTCTCTTCCTTACAGAGAGAGCCATTTACAATTGCACAAGGTAAGTTTATTCTAGCTTCCTTTCATTTTGTGGTGAAAGTGCCTAAATTTGTGAAAATGATGGTTTGTAGCTTAGTATCAGCAAGGTAGTGTTTTATACTTTTGGTATAATTTTATTTAATTTGCTCTGTAAGAGCAGAGTTACATGTAAATTATGCTGTGAAAATAATTCTCATTAAATTAACTTTGTAAATGTATTAGTAAGCCATAGGTATTTAATTGTGATTTTTTTTTTTCCCCAGGAAAGGGGCAGAAACTTTGTGAAATTGAGAGGATACATTTTTTTCTAAGTAAGAAGAAAACCGATGAACTTAGAAATCTACACAAACTGCTTTACAACAGGCCAGGCACTGTAAGACCTTTTTACACTTTAAACCTACTTGTATATTACTTCACAATGGAATCAATTTCTGTAAATGTTAGTGATCCACTAGTTCAATTTCCACACTTTATGACTGAGCAGACTGAGGTATATACTTATTAAATGATTTATCACAGGAAACACAGCTGGATATTAGCACTTGGATTATAATATCCAGGGCTCTGTCTTCTTTTTTCTTTTTCTTTTTCTTTTTTTTTTCTTTCTTTTAAGACACGGTCTCACTTTGTCACCCAGGCTGGAGTACAGTGTGCAATACATGGCTCACTGCAGCCTCAACCTCCTGGGCTCAAGTGTTCCTCCCGCTTAAGCCTCCCAAGTAGCTGGGACCACAGGTGCATGCCACCATACTGTGTCTGGCTAATTGTTTTACTTTTTGTAGAGGCAGGGTTTTGCCATGTGCCCAGGCTGGTCTTGAACTCCTGAGCTCAAGTGGTCCTCCCACCTTGGCCTCCCAAAGTGTTGGGATTACAGGTGTGAGCCAGTATGCCCAGCTCTAGGGCTCTTTCTCCTGTAGTAGTTTTTATTCCAAACTGAAATTTCAAATTACGAAATCCAAATTGTGATGAAAGGTTTTAGTGACCTTTAAATGTATTGAAAGAAATTCATGTTTTTGGATTTTCTCGACATTCAGAATAAGTGAATGTCGGTATGATTTGTATGAGATCATACATATGATCTCATTTGTATCTCATACAAATAAGAGGCAAAATCATTTGTATCTCATACAAATCTCATACAAAGTGAATTTGGTGTAATTGTATCTCATTTTTAGCAAATACCTGATAAATTGGATGATAGTTCTTTGCTAAAGGATTGTTATTATACTGTACATATGACTTAGTATATTATATAATCGAGGGAACTGCTTTAGGTTGTACGTGGGCAAAGTAAAGTTGGGTGTTAGAATGTCTGAAGTAGAATAGAATGTCTGGTGCATGACATAATTTATTTTCAGTGAGTCTGTTAATCTCATTTAATCCTTAAACCAATTTAATTTACACAAGTCCCATAACTAGTGAACGGTATTAGCTTTTTGTGGTACTCGCTATTCTTTACTTTGAAAGAATAAAGTCCTTCTTGATTTGGAAAAGAAGAATTACTAGTAACTTTATTACTTATGAAAAGGATATATTTTTAAATAGTAACTTTCCACATCCCCTGGTACTGTCAGGTAACTTTTGGTTGTGGTAAAAACTCCCCAGTGAAAATTTGTTCAAATTGTTCTTTTCAGAGACTTAAGTTTGTAGGATTTTTATAATGTTAATATGTTAATGACAAATACATTTTTCAGTTTTGAATAAGAAATGTTGAATATTGAACCCATATTGAATTGGTTGACTGTTCAGCCAGTATTGTAACTTACAGACAGGTATGAAAATAAAGATGTTGACTTTGAATTGGCTTTGAATTTATTCTTGTGTACATTACTGGGTAATAAATACCATTAATAATAAGGAACATTTTCAGGTGTCCTCATTAAAGAAGAATGTGGGTCAGTTCAGTGGCTTTCCATTTGAAAAAGGAAGTGTCCAATATAAAAAGAAGGAAGAAATGTTGAAAAAGTAAGTTATTTTTATAAATACTGTATTTTGATCAATATGCTTTAAGTTTATTTTTTAATGTTAAATCACATTCGGGCCAGGCACAGTGGCTCACACCTGTAATCCCAGCACTTTGGGAGGCTGAGGCGGGCGTATCACCTGAGGTCAGGAGTTTGAGACCAGCCTGACCAACATGGAGAAACCCCGTCTCCACTAAAGATACAAAATTAGCCGGCTGTGGTGGCGCATGCCTGTAATCCCAGCTACTTGGGAGGCTGAGGCAGGAGAATCGCTTGAACCTGGGAGGTGGAGGTTGCGGTGAGCCAAGATTGGGCCATTGCACTCCAGCCTGGGCAACAAGAGCGAAACTGTCTCAAAAAAAAAAAAAGAAAAAAGATTCATAGAAGCATTGGCCACTTTTTTAAATGTATGTAACTGAGCCAATTTGGTTGGCTTTCCCTTTATATTGTGGAGAACATATGTAAGCTTTCCTATATTAACACCTTGGTTTCTTCCATTTTCTGTTTCAGATTTAGAAATGCCATGTTAAAGAGCATCTGTGAGGTTCTTGATTTGGAGAGATCAGGTGTAAATAGTGAACTAGTGAAGAGGATCTTGAATTTCTTAATGCATCCAAAGCCTTCTGGCAAAGTGAGGATCAATTTTTATTTTTTTCATAAATCAGTTATTCATAGCCTCTTTATATGAAACAAAAATTGATTAATAACAGCATTGCTGTCAGTATTCGTTCATATCTACATTCAAAGACTATACCTTCTGTTGACGTATCTGCAGTAATTTCCTGATAGAAATAATATAGATGCCATAGGGGTATGTTGCTTCGGAAAATCAGATACAAGGGATATAAGGTTAAGAATAGTGAATTAATGTCAGAAGGGACAGAAAGTACTAGTAGTCAGGGTTAGGTATCTAGAAGACACTGGAAGAATAGGAAGAGGTTGGGCTGAGGATGAGGTGCAAGGCTGGAGGGAAGGGGTGCAACCTGTAATCAAGTGAAGACAAAATAGGGAGTATATTAGAACTGGATGTTTTCCTAGATCCTGGAATAAAGTATTAAAAAGTGACATTTAAAAGCTAACTCTTACAAGTTTCCTATATTGGGTTTCCAGAATCTGCAGCAGAGCCCAGGAGCCAGACAGGGAAGTAAAATGGCCTTACAGTTTTCTCACTCTTCCTAAAAGCTAGTAGGTTTGCCCTAATTATTTAATGGTAACGAATGACATAGGTGACTTAAAATGTCTGTTGAAGTGTTACATGACCTTGCCTTTTTAGTGTGATTTAGGTCTGTCAGCAAATGTTTTTATATTCTTCCCCATCTTGACAGGAAAGGAAGTGTGAGAGATCTAGCAGGCCTAGGAGTTCAGGGGAATGCCATCTCTGATGGGAGATGGCATTAATCAAAACCAGAAAATAGCTCTAGGACTTCGTTTTCGTCCGCCCTTGGTCCTTATTACCATTAGCTGCACGAGGACAGATAAACAGCAGTTAAAGTGTAAACTTTTGTTATACAACTACAAACGCAAGGGGTATGATGATTTTTGGTGTTTTAAATTGGCTTGTTTAAAGACAAAATACTTCTTATTTTCTAACTTTTACTATAGCTATACTTGTACTTTTTAAGGATTTAGTGTGAGGCAAGGTGATCACTATTTCCTCAGAAGCAATTTACTAGGTTGTTATGACAGATATTTTTATATTTATCTTTTTCTCAGTGGTTTTCCAATTTATTGGTTTCAGGATACTGTTGCCCTCTTAAAAAATTAGTGAGGACCCCAAGAGCTTTTTTTAATATGAGTTATTTTGATCTTCACTGTATTTGACATTAGAACTGAAAAATTTTTATTTTAAAATGTTAAAAATAATATTTTCTAGGAAAAATAACTTTTCAAAAGAATGAAAGAGTGGCATTTTATGTTTTTGTACATCTGTTTAATGTCTGGCTTAAGAGAAAACAGCTTGATTACCATTTGCTTCTGCATTCAGTCTTTTTGTGTTGTTGTTGTTGTTACTGTTGTTGTTACTGTTGTTTTGAGACAGATTCTCACTCTGTTGCCCAGGCTAGAGTGCAGTGGCACAATCTCTGCTCACTGCAACCACTGTCTCCCAGGTTCAAGCAATTCTTCTGCCTCAGTCTCTACAGTAGCTGGGATTATAGGCGTGTGCCACCATACCTGGCTAATTTTTGTCTTTTTAATAGAGACGGGGTTTTGCCATGTTGGCCAGGCTGGTCTCGAACTCCTGACCTCAGGTGATCTGACCGCCTCGGCCTCCCAGAGTGCTGGGATTACAGGCGTGAGCTACCGTGCCTGGCCGCATTCAGTCTTTTGCAATGTATTGTTTTGTTTAAAATCTATGAAGGGCCTGATGCAGTAGCTTATGCCTGTAATCCCTGCCCTTTGGGAGGCCGAGGCAGGTGGATCACTTGAGCTCAGGAGTTCAAGACCAGCCTGGGTGACAGAGTGAGACTGTCTCAAGAAGAAATTAGCCAGGCGCTGAGGCACGCTCGTGTAATCCCAGCCACTTGGGAGGCTGAGGTGGAAGCCTGAACTCAGGAGGTCAGTGCTGCAGTGAGCTATTTTCATGCCACTGCATTCCATCCTAGGTGACAGAATGAGATCCTCTCTCAAAATAATAAGTATATGAAGAAAACCGAGCCTCACATAAAAAGAATATTTTTAAAGTCTTTTTAGATAATTGTGTATATTCTCTTTTTGATACCATACAATACCAAAACTCTACATAAGTTGTAGTTTCCTAAAGATTAGTTGTAATGTTTAATGTAGGTCTGAAACCAGGTTAATTAACTTGGGTCTTGTATGTATAGTTTTGTAACATGCATTTACCGCTTGTAAATATTGGTTCCCTGAATTATGTCTTCCAAATGTTGACGTTTTATTGAACACTGTCATTAAATCATGCTCATTAATATAAATATCATCTCATCAGAAAAATTACTTAGGCCTTGGTAAACTATCAAGTTCACAGTAGTAGATGTGAATTTTCCAGAATTCTAGTTCCCACTTGAAATCATAACGTTTATCATTGGCGATAAATGCTCTCAGTTTTCCTTGAAGTGACAAGCTCACCTTGTTCATGTTTGAAAACATCTCTATCAAATACCTAAGTCTGAGTTAGCCATATTTGTTCTTTTAAAAAGTGGTGTTCTCTGGGAGGTGAAGCTTGCAGTAAGCCGAGATCGTGCTGCTGCACTCCAGCCTGGGCGACAGAGCGAGACTGTCTCAAAAAAAAAAAAAAAATGTGGGGTTCTATGAAAAAGGAGCTTGGAGCGTGTTTAGCTCACAACTCAGATACACAAATGCTTTTCCTTCAGAAAACCATTGAACTTCAGTTGTAGCCATATTTATGTATATCTTCCATTTTGTCACAGATATTAGAAAGACATGTACTTGAGAGTTAACACAGTATTTATTGTTTTATCAAGGACATTATTAAGTGAAACCATTTGCCTTGTTTGTTTCTGCTGGTGTGTGGTTGTGAGGAATACAGTGACTAATATATGTTGCTTCCTTGATTAGTACTAAGGTGCCATCAATTTTACCCACCTTTGCTTTCCTTTGCTTTTGCAATTAGTACAAATGTCAACACAGTGAAAAGAGCAGATAAATAGTGTTGCTATTATTATGAAAATAGTTTCTACCTCGGAGACTCCGAAAAAGGTCTCAGGAAACCCCAAAGTCCTTGAACCACACTGTGAGAATCTGTTTTTTCTTGTCATATAGAATCTTAACTCTTATGTCAGTTTTTCATATGTGATTCTGTGATGATTACTCCTTAATCTGATAGTATCGAGCTCAGGCTATTTTCTTTTTTTTTTTTTTTTTTTTTTTTTTGGAGACAGCGTTTTACTCTGTTGCCTAGACTGGAGTGTTGTGGTACAATCATGGCTCAATGCAACCTTGACCTCCTGGGCTCAGGTGATCCTCTCACCTCAGCCACCCAAGTAACTGGGACTATAGGTGTATGCTACCATGTGTGGCTAAATTTTACATTTTCTTAGAGACAAGGGCTCACTATATTGTCCAAGATGGTCACAAACTCCTGAGCTCATGTGATCCTCTCACCTTGGCCTCCCAAAGTGTTGGGATTACAGGCATGAGCCACTATGTCTGGCCTAGAGCTATTTTCTATGCTACAAGAAGTTTCCTTTTTCTCCTCTTTAACAATTTCTCAATGGTTTAATCAACACAACATTAATCATTGATTGCTTTCCTATCCTTCTATTGTACTTTACCTTATTTTATTTGTTAATCAGATTTTGTTTCCAAAAAGAGATAATGCTGTTGACACTGGATTTTGATTAATAGATTTAACTATTTTTGGAGTAGTATAGGAAAACTCTAAGGCATTTGTATATTACTACTTTTTGGATTTTGGTTTTAAAACTCCTCGTTTACTTTTGGGAATTGCATTTTTTTTTTTATTGGCTGCTTGAATAACTTAACATCTTTTCACTTTCCTGGATAGATTTATCCAGAACCTGTTTCAGTCCTCATACTAATAATTCGATATACAGATTACATCCTTGCTACCTGTGTCTGGTTTCTGAGCTGAGATTGTGAGGGATATTATGTTTTTCTAATACATTTGAGACCTGGAGATCATGTAACAAGTAGTAAGAGCTTGGACAGTGAGAGTTACCTTTTCTCCAAACGGTGCTATCAAAGAATTTATCCACATGGATTAAGGTTCTGATAATAGTTGTTAATGGTAGTATCTCACATAGCAAGGATATGTGTATGCATTCACGATTTCTTATAGAGAATCTTCTCTGAGAAATGTCTTTGATCCACCAACTTCAAGTTCCTGGAGTGACCTAATTTTGCTGTTTCCTAGTGTGCCTTTAGAAGGGTACGTTGTTGGAGCAATCTAGGTTATCCTGTGGTTTCTTTGCAGAGAGCTCAAGAGTACCATATTATACAAAGCAGCCACTTTTTCTTAATTTTTGTGTAGGTGACAGTGACCCCTAGACTGGAGGTTCCTGGGAGGTAAAGGACCTGTCGTTCTAGTCTCTGCAAGAAAAATATTGCCTAAAGTTATCACAAACATTTACACAATTGGATACCTTAAGGTTATGTTATGGAATTTTACCTTAATGTTTCTGCTTATTGCAGAAAATAAAGTAACAAAGGTAGAAATAAAAGAATATAAAAGATGCTCAATCCCAGAAATAAATATTAATTCTGTAATGCGCATTTTAACATTCTTGATGTTAGGTAATTTTATGGTTTTCAATTTTAGAATTTAGCAAAACTTCCTTGAGAAAGCACTTAAAAATTAAATTTATTGTTTACTGTAATCAACTCATTTTCATCAGGTGATCTCTGCTTTTAATATACATGGTTTAATTGATTATCAGAATAATAGCAGCATATTCTTAGTTTCATAATTAACATACTTATCATTTATTGTATACTTATAGGCATCAGTGATAATATGAGCCTGACATTGTTGAAAGTAGAGGCCAGAAGTAATGAATATAAACCGTATAGTTCATTCATAAATTCAGGATGTATAATTGGTAATAAAGTTATACATTTTTTTTATGGGCCAGGCGTGGTGGCTCATGCCTGTATCCCAGGACTTTGGGAGGCCAGGGTGGGTGGATCACTTGAGGTCAGGAGTTTGAGACCAGCCTGGCCAACATGGTGAAACACTGTCTCTACTAAAAATACAAAAATTAGCTGGGCGTGATGGTGCATACTTGTAATCCCAGCTACTGCACAACAGAATGAGACTCTGTCTCAAAAAAAAAAAAAAAAAAAAAAAAAAAAGGTTTTTCTCCCATTCCTTCGATTGGAGTGTTGGGCCTTCTAAAGCAAGGAGCTTCTTTGGCAGTGACAGTTTTTTGTTTTTTGCTTTTTGTGTTTTTTTGAGACGGAGTCTCACACTGTTGCCCAGGCTGGACTGCAGTGGCGCGATCTCGGCTCACTGCAAACTCTGCCTCCTGGGTTCACGCCTTTCTCCTGCCTCAGCCTCCCGAGTAGCTGGGGCTACAGGCGCCCGCCACCACGCCCGGCTAATTTTTTGTATTTTTAGTAGAGACGGGGTTTCACCGTGTTAGCCAGGATGGTCTCGATCTCCTGACCTCATGATCTGCCCGCCTCGGCGTCCCAAAGTGCTGGGTTGGCAGTGACAGTTTTAATGCTTGTAGGGATGAAATAAATTACAAATCTAACTTAAAATATTATCATGACAAAGTATTAACAGCCGTTGGAGCTTAACATAATGTGTCTTGAGCTTCTAGTCCCATGTCAGAACCTAGAATACATATTTCTCTACAATTGAGAAGGGTCTTGCTAGGTGTTTAGAACACAAATGGTATTAGTAACACAGTTTTAGGTTAACCTGACACGGTTAAAGATTATTCTCTGCAAAGCTGCTGGGCTTGTAAATACAATTTCTTGAGAGAGGAATAAGAAATTGAGTTGATAAGTTTTCAAGAAGAGAATTGATTGAAATATTATACCTCATTGGTGTTATCTTTATAAATTTTTATGCAGCCATTGCCGAAATCTAAAAAAACTTGTAGCAAAGGCAGTAAAAAGGAACGGAACAGTTCTGGAATGGCAAGGAAGGCTAAGCGAACCAAATGTCCTGAAATTCTGTCAGATGAATCTAGTAGTGATGAAGATGAAAAGAAAAACAAGGAAGAGTCTTCAGATGATGAAGATAAAGAAAGTGAAGAGGAGGTAAAATATTTTACTATATTTTTAAATCATTTCTTTCCATGGGGAGAGTTAAATATTTCTGCTATAAGGTACAGCCAGAAAACACTTCCTTATTGGTTGTTTTTAATTCTGAAGATGCAGAAATGATTAAGTATGAACCCATTTCTTTTCCTTAAAGAGCTTTTAGTTTCATTACCATGTCAGAGTATGAGTCAGAAAAGAGTGAGGTTGGTGTGGACTGGATTTGAAGTGGGCCTTGAGCTGGACGTTGAAGACTAGAGTAGATAAATGGGAAGGGAAGCGGAAGTGGTGCATATCCTGAATAGGACCACATAGGAGCAGATTCTTCGAGGATTTTTTTCGTAATATATTGATACTTTATAATTGACTTGGATCATTTTATTTTACGGAAAAAGCAAGGGACTTAAGGGCCTTTTTCCCCCCCTCAACCTTTAGGGGACTATGTAGTGAGAATAAACAGCATTTGAAGTTTATATAATGAGTGGATAAATTTTGTATTACCTGTCATTTTCTTTTATTTGGGAGTATTTGTAAAAGTTGAGACTCTTAGTTTCCAAAGTGAAACTTCATGAAGAAGAGAACTGCTGAAGCAGTTAAATAAGAGGGTTAACCTCTTCAGTCAGGTAGATCATGGAGAGTGGGTACAGGAGATGGGTTTCTATTATTGTTAATGATGTTTTGGTAGACTGTATTTTAACTTTGATGTTTTCGTTCAAAGGTTGGAACTTGCTCTATAGATTGGGTAATCAACCTTGCCTTATTTAGGGACTTGGATAATGTCAACTTGACATTTTGGACCAGATGATTCTTAATTGTGGGTGATATTCCCAAGCTCCCCTTGTGACAACCAAAAATGTTCTTCAGACATTGTCAAATGTCCCTGGGGCGAGACAAGGAGGGAATCATCTCCACTGAATTAGAAGGAATAAAGATATAGTGAACTCTGGTATTATATGATATGTGTGGGTGTTTAGTATGTATGTTTGTCTTGAGTTATTTACAATTCATGCTTGTTTTAGCGTCAAATTTTATAAAGACTTCTATAAAGCTAAGTATGAAATGCTTCATCATTTAAGAAAGAGGGTTACGAATCTAGTAGGTGCTTCATAAATATCTTAATATATATTTGGCACAAAGGAAAATAAGTAATCTGAGCATTAAGGTCTTTATGGATTGGATATCCGGGAGGAAAACATGTTTGTTTGTATGTATATATATAACAGTGGAAATTTTTAAACTGATAGTATCTTCATTCAGGAAATATTTGGTGTCTACTGTGTGCCATTCAGATTCCTAAACTCTCTTTATGGGCAGAGTTAAAGCACGAAACATTATCATAGAATATAAATGTCTAATTTTTTCATAGAGACGTTAGCATGGGCTCTGGAAACTGAGTTCAAATCTGACCTCTATATTGGATTATTACTGTATTAGTATAAGCAAGTTATTTAAACTATACCTCAGTTTCCCATCTGTAAAATGGGGAGTGATAATAGTATTAGCCTCATAGGGTCATATTAAAGGATTTTATTTAAAATACTTAGAGCGGTGCCTGGTGCATATAGTATGTAAGTATTAGTTGCTATTATTATTAGAATTAAAATGATGTTTTATGACAAGTAAAACTTCTAAATCGAATCTTCTTGTCATTACTAGGTGCAGGTTAAAAAGTGAGGGCAGGCCGGGCATGGTGACCCATGCCTGTAATCCCAGCACTTTGGGAGGCCGAGGTGGGTGGATCACCTGAGGTCAGGAGTTCGAGACCAGCCTCACCAACATGGTGAAACCCTGCCTCTACTAAAAATACAAAATTAGCTGGGCGTGGTGGTGCATGCCGATAATCCCAGCTACTCGGGAAGGCTGAGGCAGGAGAATTGCTTGAACCGGGGAGGCAGAGGTTGCAGTGAGCTGAGATCGCACCATTGTTCTCCAGCCTGAGCAACGAGCGAAACTCCGTCTCAAAAAAAAAAAACGAGAGCATTTTATACTCACTTTTAAAATTCGCTTTCTAAATTGTTGTCCCATAGTTCTGTAGAGGTAGTTGAACTTGGTGTATGCAGATGATACCTGATTTATACCCATATTGGTTCCAGGATAATAATCACAAGTGGAACCATCTCACTATAAATCAAACCTTTACCTTCTGTAGTGCCCTAATCTAGGGTCTGTGACTAGAAACCCAGGTCAATTGATGAAAATCCATGGGAGAAGAAAATGTAAAAATGCTTTCAGACATTAGGTGTATGAAATCACACAATATAAAAGCTATATCATATTTTATTAGAGGGATTTTTTTGCTACCTTTGCTAGTACTTGACAGATTTTATAAAATGTAAAATAAAATTTGGACTGAGAAATTGTTTCCCCCCCTTTTTTTTCCCTGATAAATGTCTCTCCAACAAGCATTGTTGCTTTAAATTTAGCACTGTCTTCAGCTTTTTATTGCTGATTCAGTTTCTGTGAAAGGCCTTTGAAAGGTAAGTTCTGGCAGGAGGAACAGTGTATCTGTGGCAACTTTGTTTTTCCTTATTCCATTTTATGAAGACTCAGTTCTAAATGTCAGCCATGTTAGGAACTTCATAAATGGAGCTATTTTTGGTCATTACTATGGAAGGACCTCTTTTCTAAGAAGCCATAAAGAAAAGTTGCAAGTTAGTCACAGAAGTTTTGGATTGCCTGTAGATTTCTTTATGATAGGAAATTAGTGAGTTAATATTCTGTTTATTTTCTGACACAGATTTTTCTTTGATAAATAAAAGACTCTTATTCATTAAGATCAGCTTCTTGTTCTGTTTTTCTTGGAGTAAATAACTGTGAATTTGGGTAGATTGATTTTACTTTGTTCAGTTTCCTCTGTAAAATGAGGATTTTGAACTGTATAGTCAAATATACTCTATTCATTGTTGAAGTAAGAAATCTTATGCAAGCCGAGTAAGTTTATAGTTCTCCTTTGGCTAATTATATGAGGTTAAATTGTATTTATTTTCCTCCTAGTTTCATGTTTAACTTTAGATGTGTAGAAGACTAAGGTGTTTATAAGTAAATTCAGTGTTAAGATGAAATCACTGAAATCCATATAGTTAATTGAAATGACAGTTTTACAAAAGTAATTTAAAAGAAAATGTCAGATTTAGCATATTAGCTGATAATTGCTAAAGCACTTGTTTGAGGTTTTCTGTACCTGTACCTCTACCTCTGTTTTTATGATATGCAGTGAGTGAGTCACAATAGTTTTGCAATTCTTTTCCTTGTAATTAAATAAAAGAGTATTCTTTGTGAGAGTAACTTCAGAAAGAAATCCCTTTATAAAAGAGCCATTTTGAATTTCCTTATTAGCTTGTCTCTTGGACATTGGCTTTTTAGAACAGTAAAAGGAGAGCAATTGGGAAGGAAGTGGTGGATGATTTTCTTTTTTTCTTTTGATGAGAAATAGGAAAATAAACAGGTTATTTTCTCTAAATTGATTATGAAAATCAGCTGGTTCCTATGTGGGATTAGCTTCTTCAGGGCAGGATTGCTAAAATGAGTGTATTAGTCCTTTCTCACGCTGTTAATAAAGACATACCCAAGACTGAGTAATTTTAAAGGAGTTTAGTTGACTCACAGTTCCACATGGCTGGGGTGGCCTCACAATCATGGTGGAAGGCGAATGAGGAGCAAAGACCCATCTTACGCGGCAGCAAGCAAGAGGGTATGTATAGGGCAACTCCCTTTTATAAAACCATCAGATCTGGTGAGACTGTTTCACTGTCATGAGAACAGCATGAGAAAAACCCACCCTCGTGATTCAGTTACCTCCCACTGGGTCCCTCCCACAACGTGGGGATTATTACAATTCAAGGTGAGATTTGGGTGGGGACACAGAGCCAAACCGTATCAATGAGCCGTTGAGGTTAAACCACATTTGGTCATAAACCACATTTGGTCATGCTATTCACAGGTGTTAACCTTGAGGCATAGAGAAATTACTGCAGAGTACAGAAAAAAGGGGGAAATAGTACATATTGGAGAAAACAATTCTAACAGTCTTTTAGACTCTTTAAAAGCATATTTTATTTCTTTTTCATCTTATCCTAATACCTCTGTCTTCAATTTTTATTTTCTAGTGTTTTTATAGCGCATACGTATCTCGAAAGTATGAAACAAACTGTGGAGTTTTACGAGTATTTAGAATTTATCTGAATGTTGCCATATGTTATCAGGAATGTTTTCTGCTGAAATAATTGTCAGCCTTACTAATAATGTTCGAAACAGGAGTTTATTTTTCTTTCATGACAAGAAGCCCACAGACAGGGACATTCTAGGGCCAGTACAGCAGTTCAAGAAAGGAATTGAGGATGTGGGTACTGTCCTTTCCTGATCTCTCATCTTTAGTATATGGCAATTAACTTCATGATCACAAGGTGGTTGTTTTACCTTTAGACATTGTATTCATGTTCCAGATAAGGAAGAGCAAAAGGTTTTCTTCTAGTGATGTTTTGGCTTTTTTCCCTGAATGGGATGCCTTTTACCAGAGATCTCCATATACATGGCATCAGCCAGCACTTTGTTGTCTGCCCACCTAACTGCAAGAGAAGCTCTGAGATCTAGGTGTCAGCTTTCCTACCTTTATAAGAGGAAGGCAGATCAAAAGTGGGTGGTTCAGTGAGCCATCTTACAATGTTTGCCAAGTCAGAGAAACTCCATTATAATTTTTGGTAAACTATCTATTTGGACCATTCAAGGGATTATCTGGTAGTGGTAAGGTGAATGTGAAAGTTTTGTTAGTCCTTTCACATTGTGTTTTAGAAAACTAAACTATCTCTTCCTCTCACACGTTGATCAGAGGAATTGCAAAATCTGTATAAACCATTTAAACCTTTCGTTGGAAGGCAGAATTGAATAATCACCATACTAAAACCCATTTAAACTTGCTTTCATAATCTTCTGTGAAATATAACTAGACTTGCACATTCTTTCCTCTTGGCATTCTGAGTTTTCTCAGCCAAATTGTTGAAAGAATAGTGTATTTTAAGCTAATTTTTATTTTGTTCATCTGTTCACCCAGTACAACCTTTCTGCTGTGAGGACAGAATTCTGGCTCTGTGACAGGCGTCTTTTTTGGAGACCCTCCTTCAAGAGCCCTGCTGCCTATAAATCATAGGTAAGCCTTGCTTTCCCAAGATTTTTTTTGCCTTCCTTCAAAAAGTGCTTATGTCATTCCTCTGATTCTGTACCTTCATGGTTATCAGAGACAGGGAGAATCCCCTTCACGTTTTTGAAACTTCTGTATTACTGATCCTTTAAAAATTTAGGTTATAGTACATTGTACTATCTGACATTAATGGCAGCTGTTCATTTTTATTTGTTCCCCTTTAGAACATCTGAAATAGTTGATGGTCCTGATTGAACCACTCAGCATATAGAGAAGTAGCAAACTCGAATCTTTAAATCTCATGACAATTTGGAAATCAGCTTTTTCTTTATTCTTTTTTTAAAAAAACTTAACCTAATTTTCCCCCCATTTTGTTAAAAGACTCAGTCTTGTCTCCACTTAGGTTAAATAACAAGATGTTAACCATTGTGAGTATTTTCAACATTATTTCCTCAATGCCATATAATTTTTATTATAATCACTAAAGTTTTCAAGATATTTTGAAAGAGACTTAAAATGGGGGTCAGTACTTCACTTATTTTTGAGACAGAGTCGTACGTCTTACTCTGTTGCCCAGGCTGGAGTACAGTGGTGAGATCATGGCTCACTGCAGCCTTGAACTCCAGGGTTCAAGTGATCCTGCCACCAAGTGGCTAGCAATTTTTAAATTTTTTGTAGAGAGAGGTTCTTGCTCTGTTGCCCACTGGCTTTTGATTTCTGAGGTAACCACTTTTTGATTGCTCAAGTCAGTGAATTGGGAGTATGCTAAATGCTGTTAGGGTTACAGAAGATATTTTCCAAGCAAATGCCATTTGATACTTAGCATTATAGGATTTCTAAAGAAGGAAAATCTTCATGCCTCTTGAGGAAAGGCTTTGGGTAGAAGTGGAAGTACTACCAATTCAAGTTGACCTTGGGAATGGAGAGGAAAGTTGTACGTGTGAACAAAGATAAGGAACAGGGAAGGCAGGGTGCCTTTGACTAACTCGTGGTTAGAGTTGTGTGCCCAGAAGTAGAGCAATGAGAGATGAAACTAAGGTAATGTAGGTTGAACCCATGCTATAGAGAACCCATGAAGCTGGGCATTGTTGTGTGACTAATATGTTTGGTGGTAGGTTCATTATTCTCACTCATTCAAAATGATTATCTTATTCTATACCTGAGCATTTTACTAAGTGGGAGAAAAAAAAAATGAGACACGTCCTCTGGTCTTCCAGGAAGTACCACTCAGTAAGCATTTATTAGCAACTGCAAGGAAGAAACTATTCAAAGTGTATATACCATGTGCTTTCACATCTTGCATCTCATTTAGTCTTGACTCCATGAGAGGTGAGGTATGTCTCCTCATTTTTGTATTTGAGGTTATAATAAATATATAAGAAACCTTTTTTAGTGCTTTCTCTTCACAGTAGTCACCTCTTACCTGAACGGAGTACATTTCAAGACCCCCAGTGTATGCCTGAAACTGCAGATCATGCCAAGCCCGATTGCTGTCATTTGGGACATGTTTCTGTTCACGTTTCCCACCCTCAAATTATGCCTTTTTCATCATAACTAAGCACTTATCCTGCACTGTGGCCATAACTTTCGCAGTTTGAGGTTTGACAGCAGAGCCAGCACAAAGTTCTTTTCCCTTCACAATTTCACATATAGAAGATTTGTTCTTACTATAGATCTTAGAAACCTCAACATATGATTTTTTTCTTTCCTTGAGTAAAGAGCTTTCACTTAAAAGAACCCACTTTATGGCTTCTCTTTGGCATGTTTGAATTGCCAACATTACTACTTCTGGGCTTTGGGGCCATTATTAAGTCACATAAGGGTACTTGGGCACAAGCACAATGATACTGCAACAGTTGATAGGATAACCAAGATGGCTGCTAGTGACTAATGGGCCAAGGTTCTGGGAGCATCTACAGTGTGGATATGCTGGACAAAGGGATGATTCACATCCCGGGCAGGAGTGAGCAGGATGACATGAGATTTCATCACACTACTCAGAACAGCATGCAATTTTAAATTTATGAGTTGTTTACTTCTGGAATTTTCCATTTAATATTTTCAGACTATGGTTGACAACAGGTAGTTGAAACCACATGCAGAAAGAGAAACCATAGATAAAGGGAGACTGCCGTATTATTCTTTCTTCTTTTTTGAGACAGAGTCTTGCTTTGTTGCCCAGGCTGGGGTACAGTGGCACGATCGATACTCACTGCCACCTCCACCTCCCAGGTTCAGCAATTCTCGTGGCACAGCCACCCTAGTAGCTGGGTCCACAGGTGCATGCCACCACGCCTGACTAATTTTTTGTAGAGACGGGGTTTCACGATGTTGCCAGGCTGGTCTCGAACTCCTGGCCTCCCAAAGTGCTGGGATTACGGGGTTGAGCCACCGTGCATGGCTTCCTATTCTTTCTAAAGCTTCTTGTTTATGTACTTCTATCTTCAGAGTTCTCTCTAGAATTCCTGATTTAGATCAAAATTTGATTTTAAGCAATAGCTTTAAGAAAGTTAATGAGTATAAATCCACTTGTGCTTATCAGAACTTAAAACTAAAAGCTATTAAAAACTTGATAATTGGAGGAATTGTCCTGTTGATTGCTTTGTCTGGTTCCTGCCTTTACTGTATATAGCTCCAATAATTCAAAATCTAGGAATCAGCAGGCAGTGTAGCCTGTATGCCAAGTCCAGCCTACAGC